>NC_000003.12:110069210-110372240 GCF_000001405.40 Homo sapiens | reverse complement strand
TTACTGGCACAAATGAGTCTCCCTGTGTGTAAATATCAACCAGCTTTAAGACAAATAAAGGTCATAGGCTTGCAGAGTTGGGAGAGGCTGAGAAATTGTCTAGTAAAGTTCCCAGTTAGAGCTTTGGACCCTATTGACAGCATTCTCAACACATCTCTGGACACTTGCATTATTAGAATACTACTAATATTCTAGTTTTGATAGATCTGATCATTTTGAAAACTTTCCACTCTTGTTGAGGAAACTGCCTCCTCATAACTTCTACCTTTTCTTCTATTTCTGACATGAAGATTCCCATATGTGGGTTAAATGCTAATGAAAGTGTTTCAGACACATAAAGATGGCTATTAAATAAAGCCCACACATCCCCTTTCACCAACTTCCACCATCTTCATGTAGCCAAATTTTAGTTCCATCATGGCCTGGTTAGTATCTTGTGACTTCACTCCATGTTGTTATTTCTTCTGTATCACTTTCAGAACTGAACAAAGGGTATCGAGGCATAACTCATACAGAACATGGGATACCCCATTTTTTAAAGACAATGTACTTCTATTAAGGCAGTTGCATATCTTATTAGCTCTTTTGGCAACTACATCCAGGGACATTTTACTCAGTGCTTGTAACTGCTATATCATTGTTGTAATTAAAGTATGAAAAGCAATGCTTTAGTTAATGAATTGATATGAACTTTCTTGTTTTTTTTAATCTTCCAGAAAATTATGACAGTGAGATATCATTCTATACTATTTGAAATAGGAAAAAGTGCGAATAAATGTAAAAATAAAACACAAAGCATAGTAAAGATGAAGAGGTGATAGCATGCCCCTGAGGAATAGGTGAAATAATATATAAAACATTAGTTATTATACTGAATATAAACTTTGTATTTTAAAAATTTCATTTGCTGAGGAAGAAATATCACTGGAGAGGTAATGAATACAGAAAGATTAGAACCCAATTTTTAATTACCTTACACAAATGGGTTTGCAGCTAATAAAATACACCATTATGGTTGGAAATTTCATATTTTTAACCTCTGTATTACAAGATTATTCTTAAGCCTCATGTCATAAACAAGATACATTTCCAGTTTCTCAGCCTTTATATTTACAAAGGACCCAATGTTAGTTACATTCGCTTGAAACCCACAGATTCCAAAAGAACTCCATATAAAAATCTTGCTAAGTTGTCATAAATTGATAGTGATCCTTACCTTTTTGTTCTTGAAACACAAAAAATGGGCCAATGACTTGAAGTTTATCACCAAGTTTAAAAGGTGACTTTATATCCCTCACAAAGGGCCCCATTATCTAAAATAAAATCCTCAATATCTAAGAAAAATGTACAGACAGCCAAATTTGGCTTCGTAAAAGCTATGTTCTACAAATGAATGGCAAATATTACATGGTCTGGAAATCCAGAACACTTTAACAGATGCCAGCAAAAGTTAATAATGTTAGCTTTCCCTAGGAATGGTAGAATCTGTGTAAGAGAATAATTTAAGCTTATGGACTGTGGTGCTTAAATTCTTTATTAGAACATTTTACTGGCAAATGCTGAGAATAGGAAGAAAGATAAGCTTTGATAGCGGAGCAAACTCCTGAGTTAAGACCTTGTTGGCAACAGTATCACTATAAAACTGCTATTTGGCTTTTATTGTTATTTAATGCTCAATTATTTAAAATACTTAAACGAGAGCTCAAATGCTGCCACAATATACCAGCGAGACATTAATTGTGTGTTTTAAAATGGCTAAAATAGCAAGTTAAGGTTTAAGCATATGACGATATTTATGGAGTTTCCCTATAATTATTGTAAGACTCACTTTCTCAATTGACTTTCAGCTATGGATGACAAACATTTTACCAGAATTAAACCTTACTATAGCATTGGCTGGCAAGTAATAACATCTAAACTTTGTCCTATTAATAATGATTATTTCCTTGTGTTTTGCAAACATATGTTCATTAATTCATTGAAGGCTTAAATATTTGGCAGAATGGCAGGTGTACAGAGAACTACAGAAACCAAAGGATGAAGACCTACCTTAACCTTGAATATGAGTAGAACTAAAGTTTTAGGCCACTCACTTCTAAAATGTTTTCTAAAAACTTTGAGTAATTAAATATGGTAGACCTGTAGTAGCAAGACCTAGGTTCTGGTTTCATACTATATAACCAATTAAGTGGCTATAGGCCAGCTTCTTTAATTTTTCCAGGCTCAGTTTTTCAAACACAGGAAATGGAATAGCTGCTCTTAATAGTTTCTTGTTTTTCTAAGATTTTAGGATTCTAATCTCTTATATATATTCTTAGGCGCTCTCTCTCTCTATATATGTATATATATCTATATAGCCTAAGCATATATAGTGGTAAGTGATATATATGTACAGTGATATGTAGTGATAAAAGCAACCAGAATAAAATATTATATTATTGTTGGGAAACAATTCTTAATGGGTTTCTTACATTTTTTTCACATCTTATAAGCAAGGCAACTACCTTTTATTCTGGACCTTTTTTTTAAGCGAATATAGTGAAAAGTTTAGCCTTCCTCCAGAGCAAAGAGCAATCATACTTAATATATTAAAGAATTCAATTTCCTAAGCTCAGGGTTTCTCTGAGTAATTCAACCCATTGCATGTGCAGGTATTATTTCTCTATCTCTTTGCATTACTCTGTGGGAATTGGGGCTCTGGGACTTGCACAAAAATGCTGATACATTGGCTACTATTATTGATATGAGTAACAAATTTTTATTTGTCTCTGACCCATGAATTTTATATCTTCTAAGAGTTTCCATGAAAATATAGCAGCTGGCTTGCTAACTTGTAAGTCGGGTAAGCTTTTAGATCCATCACAGTTCTTGATAGTTTTGGCAACAAGATTGGGGTGCTAATAGAGACATGGTTTTCTGGAAAAGAAAGGATGACAGCTTCATGGGGCAATTAACAGGATGTGAGGGAAGACTATGAGAATCAATAACAAGCATTGACCCAATCACAAGGTTAATTGGGCAATAAAACCTCCTCCATGTTATTGCCCATTAATCAGGGATGTTGGGGGGGGGGTATTAAGGATGTGGTTCAAAGGTGATCACTTGAAATTAGTTTCAAAGACAGCGGCCCAAATGGTACCCTAACTCTCCTCCAAGTGAGGTGCGTTCCTCACTAACATGACAGCCAATTTCAGCTGTGCACATTGTAACAAATAGTATTAAGATCATTCTATGGATGGACAGAAGGTTGACCCTTTTTAGCTAACAGTTACAGAGGTATGCCACTACACTTATAATGAAAAGAGGAAAATCAGTGATATTATGGGCCAACCTAGCAAAAGGTGAACAGTTCGTCTGGTTCGATTGGAAGATAATGGGGTGGGGCCCATACACATTATTTTATGACTTAGTCTGTCCTTCAGCCTAAAGTGCCACCTTTAGATCCATTCAGAGACAACAGTGAAAATCTCAGATTTGTTGTCACTGTTCTCTTTGGTGGATCCTGCCTACTATATAAGTGTTTTGGCCCTCTTGAAGAGATTTCCTTAACGCATGCAAACTCCTACAGGAAACCATAGATGAGACATTCAGTAGTATTGGGGCCATTTCCCTAAACTGAGTTTACAGAACTGATGAAAGTGACTTCAGAGGAAAGTGGAAACTGACTTAAAACAATTTAGATAAATTCTTGTAGTTATCTCCACCACCTAAAAAACTCTCTTAGGCATATGTTAAAACCACCAGGTGAAATCTTAAGAGATTTTATCATGATAATGGAGTAGTAGATATCACAGATTAATGTGGACTCCTTGGGAAAAAGTCTTTGGGTGAGTCACGTTGACTCAAAGAGAGCAAAACCCTCCGTCCCAAAATCCTCCACAGCCATAGCACTTGGCTGTGGCTGCAGAATCAAGGGGTTCCCAAAGCTGAAATAAATGATATCAGTAACAGGACATTTGTTCTTCAATATAGAACTTTGTATGCAATGAAAATATTGTATGTTTTGTTGGCTCACATGCATCACAGGAATCAGAAAGTAACTATGCCTTGCTTCCTGTACAAAACTGCTCTGTTTCTGCAGTATGTGATCCCTCCCACACCCTCTATCCCAAACATAATTATTTTAAAGAAAAAGATGATGGAGGTGGGGGAAGGCCTTTCTGTCCCCAAAACTAAATGCTGTATGTATCAATGTAGGGGTCCAGCCCCTCCACACCTGTGGGTGTTTCTCGTCAGGTGGGACGAGACTGAGAAAAGAAATAAGACACAGAGACAAAGTATAGAGAAAGAACAGTGGGCCCAGGGGTCCAGTGCTCAGCATAAGGAGGACACACACCAGCACTGGTCTCTGAGTTCCCTCAGTATTTATTGATTACTATTTTCGCTATCTCGGCAAGCGGAATGTGGCAGGAGAACAGAGTGATAGTGGGAAGAAGGTCAGCAGGAAAACATGTGACCAAAGGAATCTGTGTCACAAATAAGTTCAAGGGAAGGTACTGTGCCTGGATGTGCACGTAGGCCAGATTTATGCTTCTCTCAACCCAAACATCTCAATGTAACAAAGAGTAACAGAGCAGCATTGCCACCAGCATATCTCACCTCCAGCCACAGAGCGGTTTTCTCCTATCTCAGAATAGAACGAATGTACAATCGGGTTTTACACCGAGACATTCCGTTCCCAGGGACATGCAGGAGACGGAGGCCTTCCTCTTATCTCAACCGCAAGAGGCCTTCCTCTTTTACTAATCCTCCTCAGCACAGACCCTTTATGCGTGTCGGGCTGGGGGAAGGTCAGGTCTTTCCCTTCCCATGAGGCCATATGTCAGGCCGTCTCAGTGGGAGGAAACCTCAGACAACACCCAGACTTTCTTGGGCAGAGGTCCCTGCGGCTTTCCGCAGTGCATTGTGCCCCTGGTTAATCAAGAATGGAGAATGGCGATGACTTTTACCAAGCATACTGCCTGTAAACATATTGTTAACAAGGCACATCCTGCACAGCCCTAGATCCCTTAAACCTTGATTCCACACAGCACATGTTTCTATGAGCACAGGGTTGGGGCTAAAGTGACAGATTAACAGCATCTCAAGGCAAAACAATGTTCTTAGTACAGATCAAAATGGAGGTTCTTATGTCTTCATTTTCTACATAGACACAGTAACAGTCTGATCTCTCTTGTTTTTCCCTACATATCAGTCTGATTATACTGGGGAACTTTGGGGAAACTGGGCTCAAACTTTTGTAAAACATTTGTTTGATACAAGCCCAAGCCACCCTTCTACCTTGTTGCATGGCAGGAGGTGTTGGATTTAACTGCTGACTTTACATTGCGGAATAGAAGTGGAAGTAATCTTGTGGATGGGGGCTTTTTGAGCTGATTTGATGTGCTATTGCTATGGTTTTCACTGCTTAATATGTAACTTGTACTGGGATTATATGTACCCTGATACAATAAGTTTCAGAGGGGAATTATAAAACTATACAACTTCTAGAAAAACTATAGGAGAAAACTTTTATGACCTGGAGTTATGTAAATAGGTGAGATTCTGTGCAGAAACATGATTCATAAAAGAAAAAAGATAAATTAGACTTCATCAAGATTAAGAACCTCTGATCTTCAACAGACAACATGAAAACAGTAAAAAGACAAGCCACAGACTGGAGAGAAGTATTCAAAGACCACATGTAACAAAGGATTTGTATTCAGAATATGTAAAGAATTCTTAAAACCTAACAATATGAAATCAACCCATTTTTTTTTAATGGACAAAGTGTTTGAACTTTACCAAAGTTCATGGCAAATAAATACATGAAAAACTGTTCAACCTCATTAGTTATTATGAATATAAAAATTAAGGCCAGGCGTGGTGGCCCAGCACTTTGGGAGGCCGAGGTGGGCAGATCATGAGGTCAGGAATTCGAGACCAGCCTGGCTAGTATGGTGAACCGTCTCTACTAAAAATACAAAAATTAGCCGGCGTGGTGGCACATGCCTTTAATCCCAGCTACTCGGGAGGATGAGGTAGGAGAATTGTTTGACCCCGGGAGATGGAGGTAGCAGTGAGCCGAGATCATGCCACTGCACTCCAGCCTGGGCAACACAGCGAGACTCCATCTCAAAAAATAAAATAAAATAAAAATTACAAGTGGAAA
This sequence comes from Homo sapiens, assembly GCF_000001405.40. Lineage (NCBI taxonomy): Eukaryota > Metazoa > Chordata > Mammalia > Primates > Hominidae > Homo > Homo sapiens. Next base: position 110,366,089 of record NC_000003.12, on the reverse strand, counting down.
CCACTCCATATCTCTTATAATGCCTGAAATTAAAAAGATTAAGTGTTGGTAAGGATGTAGAGCAATAGGAACTCTCACATACAGTGACTGAGAATGTAAATGGTACAAACCATTTGGAAAACGGTTCGACAGTTTCTTAAAAGGTTAAACCCTACCGTAAGACCCAGCTTTTTCACTCCTAAAAATTGATACAAGAGAAATTAAACCATATGTCTATACAAAATCTCATACACAAATGGTAATAACAGCTTTATCTACAATAGCCAAAAAAAATGCAAACAACCCAAATCCCCATATCAGGTGAATTAATAGACAATTGTATGCTAGTCACCAATAGAAAAAAGTATCAATCCCATACATTAAAAAAATCTTAAGTAATCATGCTGAGTGAAACAAGCCAGACACCAAAAATGTATTATTTCAATTATATGACATTCTAGTAAATAGAAACTAATTTCTATTGACAGAAAGTAGGTTCATGGTTGTCCTTAGATGAAGGGAACAGGGAGAGATGGGAGGGATGATTCACAAAGAGGCACAGAGAATCTTTCGGTGGTGATGGTTATGTTCACTACCTTGATTCATTATGGGCATGGTTTCATGGGTGTATACATGTCAAAATTTATGAAATTGAATGCCTTAAATATGTAAAGTTTGTTTACATAAATTATATCCTAATGATTAAAAATTATTTAGAAAAATATTCCTATGCTGTTTCCTTATCATTTTATTCATTTTCTCCAATCTCTTGTTTTCCTAATAACTAATCAAAAGGCTGGGGCCACAAAATGTATGGGTAATAAAGTTATAATTTTGGATCATCTCTTACATCTCACATGGGAAATTCAAGGACTCTACACACTTGAGTCTATTTTATCCTCATCAGAACTGTATTTAAATAAATTTTACAACATTGAATATGAAGTTTATAAACCTAACCATCCTACTTTGCTTTTCAGTCTCAAAATAAGTGATTTATTCTCTTACATTCTCTCTTTTCTAAACTCCAGCCTTTACATCTATACACACACGTGCACACACACACACACACACACACACACACACAGAAAATAGCTGTACCTATTATGTCCTTGTCATTGACTATTGAGACTGGAACTCTCTCCTTTTGCCTCCCAATCTCCTAATAGACTTGCATCTATATCTATATTCAATGTCTCTGTCCTTTCCAATTAAAAACCATAAATTATATTGAAGGCCAACACTCTGAAACTGCTCTTATCTATATTACCAATGACCTCCACGTTACCAATTTCAATGGCCACTTCTCTGTCTTCATCTTACTCATTCCCTCAGTGACATTTTCCAGAGTGTACAAACTACGTTCCCTCCCTTTGAAACACTTTACTTGGCTCCCATGGTGTGACTGTACTCTGTTCCTACTACATCACAAACTAATCCTTTTTAGGGTCATTTCCTGAGTCATTTTACTTTTCCCAGCTTTTACCTTTTAGAGACTACCAGGGCTTTTTCTATTCTGTCTCCACATTCTCTCCCAAAGCAATATTTTTCAAGCTCTAACTTTAAATTCCATCTTTGTTCTAATAGCACTCAAAATTCTATGCTCAGCATAACTTATCCCTTTGGCCACAAAATTATATATACTACTTCCTACTTCACATCTCTACTTGAAAATTGTACACGCATTTCAAATTTCACATGTCTAAATAGAAATTATTGATCGTTCTTAACTAACCCTCTCCCACAACTGTCTTTATGTGTTTCTTCCCCAAGATTGCCCCTCTCAGTCCATTACATTAGCTTTAATTTATTGGTTCATCCCACAAAATTTAGAGTCATGCTTGATGATTCTTTCATTATTTCCATCATATATCGAATATATTCCTTTCTCTGCCCAATTTTACCCCCTACTATGCTTCTCTTCATCTCTGCTGTCAGTACTTTACACCAACTCACCTTTCATCTCAACTAATGCAAGAACTCTTTTCTTGATCTTATTTCTTCAACTTCTGACTTTTGATAATCAGTTTCCTGCCCAGTAGACAATGATCTTTTAAAAAATGTACATCAGGTAATGCTATTCTGAATGCCTTTCAAGGACTTTCTTAAGGTCCTCTGCTGCATGGAAAACTTCTTATTGGCATGAATATTTCTCTCTCATTTAAGGTCTCAAATTTTATGTTGCTGCTACAGAAAAACTTTTAATGAAACTTAAATCACTTTCTATCACATTATCCTGATTTGATTCCTCCATGGCACTTCCAGCTATTGAGACTATTATTTATTATTTTTACGTGTTTATTTTTGTGTACTTTTTAGAGTTATATATATTAATCTGTATTATTTGAAAAAGTTTCCATGTAAACAAAACCTTAGCTAGTAAGAACATTAGAACTTTAGATGCTCTTTCGTGAGTCAAACTCCTTAGTACACACAATAATATATTCAAAGTTCTATCTCCCAACTCCTTGCTTCTTTTCTTTCTTTCTTTCTTTCTTTTTTTTTTTTTTTTTTGAATGTATTGTCAGAACAGCTCTTTATTCTCTGGTAGGATTGCCTGGAATTGGCATAGAATGGAAAATTAAAACTGATATTCTTAATACCTTGTCTCCCAAAAGACTATGATTTATGTTTTTTATTTAATTTTTCCCTTATTCAATCTGTTGTTTGTTGTTGTCTCTAAAGAGTAAAATTTCCCTTGATTTTAGGTGGAAACATCATAATGACTTTTGTGGGGGGATAAAAAATGTGTACATACCATATCTTTGGTGCAAACAGAACAGTACCCAAGAAATACTGGTTTACAGTTTTGCTTTCTGAAAAAATTTTTGGCAGTAAGTTAGCCTGAACTGAAATGTATTTCTCAGATAAAGCAAAGGTCAATGTACAGATTTTTCTATATTATATTGAAATGTTTAAGTAACTGTTCCTTTTGAAAGACAAGATGATTTAGAGAATATGTACATTTTTCTTCTGATCTCCACATGTTCCCTCCTTATGTATCCTACATATTAATAGTGTAGCCAAAAGGACAGCTGCTGGGTCAAAATACAGCAAAAGGCTTTGCCTAAGAATTGTCCAATAATCTTAAGAAATTAACCAACAGGCTCTCAAATCACAAAAAGTCTTCCTTCTGTTTTATAAGTCATCTGGGATTACTAGTCATAAGGGAAGGAATTTCCATCTGTTTCCATTACACTTTTTAATAACTCTTTTACATGACTAACAATTGCACTATAGATATTTCTTGACATATCTGACATGCCCACTCCACAATGAATTCTTCAAGGCCAAAGAAACTGTAACCTAGAGTATCTGAAGTGCTTGGTAAATATCTGCTATGTAAATGGTACATAATTAACATACCATTACATTAATATAATACTATATTATGTTTTCAGTTAATTAACCTTAACCGTCCCATATCCAATATATTAATTTTTCTGCCCAATTTATCCCCCAATATGCTTCTCTTCATCTCTATTACCAACACTTTACACAAATTCACCTTTCACCTCAACTATTGCATCAACTCTTTTCCTGATCTCTAAGGTTAAATTAATTCACCTTAACTTAAAATATAATATAGTATTTTTGTTTCTTACATTTATAGCCTCATGTAGGAAGTTTGCATGGCAGAGTGTTTGGCTTCCTGATCATTGATATTATCAATTCTGAAGACTGGGAAATCAGATTGTATTATTAGGAAAACCGATGGAATCATTCAAGCAAAATTTTGCTATATTATTTCTGTGTTAATATTAATTGTTGAGTTTCAATAGGAGGAAAAATATTATGAAGTATTTTCCCATGCATGCATGTGTATATGAGAAAATTTTTACCCCTTAACATGTTAATTCAGGGTTAAAGATGAAATTTTCAACTTAAGGAAATAGAATATTTCTTACAGCTTAACTTTATAATGACACTATGACATCTGTGAAATATATAACTATTGTTAAGGCAAAATAAACATTTTAAGGCAAATTTCTGGGGAAAAGAAACTTGCAGGCTATAGTTACGAGCTCACTCCATTCAGGCAGCTGTGAAGGGACAATGGTAAAGAGGGAGTTATTAATGTAGATAATTTTTAATCCTGGTTATATCAGGGGAGAGATCACATACACATTTCATGCACATTTTATGAAGGATTTCAGGTTCAAGGGCTGTTAGAGGCTCTTCTGCTGGAAGAGAAATGGGTAGATATAACTAAATAGAATTTGTTACCCTCTAAATGTGTAGACATCAATTAAATGTACACATAAGAATAATGACTTTTATAAAGAGACTTTTGGGCACTAAATAAAATTATTGTACAAAGTTGCATTGAAAAACAGGATGTATATGTACTATATTACGTATACATCCTCAAACATACACACACATTTGTCTCAGCTAGGTAAAATCTGGATACAAGGAAGGGAATGCTTCAAAAGTGAATGGTAAGTTTTTTGTTGGGGAGCAGAGAGGAGGTGATGGGATTACGGGAAAGTTTTGGTTTCATTTTAATTTTCCACATATTCCATGTATTTAACAATAAATTTATTTACAGTTTATAAAGAGAAAACAAGTATTTATTGTAAACAGAGCATACCATGCCTCCAAAGTGAATATATTACAAAGCACTTACCATAATAAATTATATATGAGATAAATGAATATAACAAAATTTATTTAAATAAACCATATAGAATGGCTATCATGTGCTAGCATGGAAGACATAGTACTTATGGGCACATAGCCATGTTTATTCACAACCAGTGAGTGATACAAGTTCACGGAGCTCACAGTTTAATGGTGAATAACATTTTAAAAATCTGTTATTTTATACCTACACTTTGCAATCAATACAACACTTTTACATATCCAGAAGATAGATAAAATACATTAAAATTCTTCAGTACTGCTGAATGGTTGGGTTAAGGAGTCATTAAAGGGTTGCAGCCAAATGACAGTCAAAAATTCCGTATCTTCAGTTTCCAGGATCACCTTCACGTTATTCACATCTGCTGTTTTTCTTTGTGAAAAGGGAATTCAGGAAGGATGTTTTCATTAGTAATTGGAGAGGGTTACCTGTCTTTGTGCTAGTAATGGGGTGAGGAAAGGGGAACAAAAGGAACAAGAGGCTAATACTTTTTCTACTGTGAAATAATTTGAAACTTACAAAACATTTGCAAGCCAGCTGAAGTAACTTTTTTTCTGAATCATTTTAGTATATATGGCCAATATTAATCCCCATTATCCCAAACTGAATAGTATACATTTTCTATAAACAAGAGCATTCTTTTATAAAATTACAAGCAAGCATAAAATCAGAAAATTAACATTGATAGGCTATTACTACTTCCACCGACCCCATTTAAGTGTTATGAATTGCCTATTATAAAAGGAAAAAAATTTAATCCAGATTCGTGTTTTGCATTTAGTTGTCATTTTTTGGGTCCCATTTAATTTGCATTAGTTCCTCAGTCTTTTTGACTTTCATTAATTTAACAGTTTTTGAACATTAAAGGCCAAATACTTTATATAATGTTGCTCCACTTTTATTTGTCCCATGTTGCTTCATAATTAAATTCAGGGTATATATTTTGACATTAATACCACAGAAGTGATGCTATATTCTCATTGCATCTTCTCAGGTGGTAAATAATTTTAATTTGTCCAACTATTTTCAAGTCAAGTGAAATTATCAAGTCACCATTTGACTAAAGTGGTGGTTTACCAAGTTCCATATATATATACACACACACACACACACACACACACACACACACGCACACACATATACACATATATATACACACAGAGTATATATACACTCTATATATAATATACTACATATATAATTCATGATTTATAAGAATTTTATAAAAAAGGAAATATCCAGTTTATTGTGAAACATTAACTCAACAGTTTTTTTTTTTATTATTCTACTTTAAGTTCTGGGATGCATGTGCAGAATGTGCAGGTTTGTTACATAGGTATACATGTGCCATGGTGGTTTGCTGCACACATAAACCCGTCATCTACATTAGGTATTTCTCCTAATGATATCTCTCCCCTTGCCCCCCACCCCTCAAAAGGCCCTGGTATGTGATGTTCCCCTCCCTGTGTCCATATGTTCTCATTGTTCAACTCCCACTTATAAGTGAGAACATGCGGTATTTGGTTTTCTGTTCCTGTGTTAGTTTGCTGAGAATGATGGTTTCCAGCTTCATCCAAGTCCCTGCAAAGGACATGAACCCTTTCTTTTTTATGGCTGCATAGTATTCCATGGTGTATATATGCCACATTTTCTTTATCCAGTCTATTACTGATGGGCATTTGGGTTGGTTCCAAGTGTTTGCCATTATAAATAGTGCTGCAATAAATATACGTATGTATGTGTCTTGATAATAGAATGGTTTATAATCCTTTGGGTATATACCCAGTAATGGGATTGTTGGGTCAAATTGTATTTCTAATTCTAGATCCTTGAGGAATTGCCACACTGTCTTCCACAATGGTTGAACTAATTTACACTCCCACTAACAGTTTAAAAGCGTTCCTATTTCTCCACATCCTCTCCAGCATCTGTTGTTTCCTGACTTTTTAATGATCGCCGTTCTAACTGGTGTGAGATGGTATCTCATTGTGGTTTTGATTTGCATTTCTCTAATGACCAATCATGATAAGCTTTTTTTCATGTGTTTGTTGGCAAAAGAAAAAATGTCTTCTTTTGACGGAGTCTCACTCTGTCACCCAGGCTGGAGTGCAGTGGTGCGATCTCGGCTCACTGCAAGCTCCGCCTCCCAGGTTCACGCCATTCTCCTGCCTCAGTCTCCCGAGTAGCTGAGACTACAGGCGCCCACCACCACGCCTGGCTAATTTTTTTGTATTTTTAGTAGAGACGGGGTTTCACCGTGTTAGCCAGGATGATCTCGATCTCCTGACCTCTTGATCTGCCCGCCTCGGCCTCCCAAAGTCCTGGGACATGAACTCTTTGCCTATGCCTATGTCCTGAATGGTATTGCCTAGGTTTTCTTCTAGAGTTTTATGGTTTTAGGTCTTACATTTACATCTTTAATCCATGTTGAGTTAAGTTTTGTATAAGGTGTAAGGAAGGGGTCCAGTTTCAGTTTTCTGCACATGGCTAGCCAGTTTTCCCAATACCATTTTTTAAATAGGGAATTATTTTCCCCATTGCTTATTTTTGTCACGTTTGTCAAAGATCAGATGGCTGTAGATGTGTAGCGTTATTTCTGAGGCCTCTGCTCTATTCCATTGGTCTATATTTCTGTTTTGGTACCAGTACTATGTTGTTTTGGTACCAGTACTATGTTGTTTTGGTTACTGTAGCCTTCTAGTATAGTTTGAAGTCAGGTAGTGTGATGCCTCCAGCTTTGTTCTTTTTGCTTAGGATTGTCTTGACTATATGTGCTCTTTTTTTGGTTCCATATGAAATTTGAAGTAGTTTTTTCTAATTCTGTGAAGAAAGTCAATGGTAGCCTGATGGGAATAGCATTGAATCCATAAATTTCTTTGGGCAGTATGGCCATTTTCACAATACTGATTCTTCCTATCCATGAGCATGGAATGTTTTTCCATTTGTTTCTATCCTCTATTATTTCCTTGAGCAGTCATTTGTAGTTCTCCTTCAAGAGGTCCTTCACATCCCTTGTAGGTTATATTCCTGGCATTTTATTCTCTTTGTAGCTATTGTAAATGGGAATTCAGTCATGATTCGGCTCTGTTTGTCTATTCCTGGTGTATAGGAATACTTGTGATTTTTGCACATTGATTTTGTATCCTGAGACTTTGCTGAAGTTGCTTATCAGCTTAAGGAGTTTTGGGACTGTGACAATGGGGTTTTCTAAATATACAATCACATCTTCTGCAAACAGAGATAATTTGACCTCCTCTCTTCCTATTTGAATACTCTTTATTTCTTTCTTTTTCCTAATTGCCCTGGCCAGAACTTCCAATTCTATGTTGAATAGGAGTGGAACTCACCAATTTTTTCATTGCTGTTTCTTACCTGATTATTAGGATGGTGATAAGTGCCAACGATGATTTTCTAACCACATTTTTCCATACTAATAATTTTTAATTCTACTCTAAAATAACTGCTTGTCTTCTCCCTTATATATCCATTTATTTACATCAGGATAGGCTCAAACATTTCTATTTTACTTAATGGGTTATTATCAGTGACAATCTTCACTTGGTGCTCAAATTGTTCCATATTTGGCCAGTGGGAGTCCTTTAACATTTTTTTGGTGTCCTTATCAGTCTTCAAACACTTCCTTACTTTCTGACTGATATGGTTTGGCTCTGTGTCCCCACCCAAATCTCATGTTGAATTGTAATCCCCATGTGTCAAGGAAGAAACCTGCAATGTCCACGTGTTGAGAGAGGGAGGTGATTGGATCATGGCAGTGGTTTCCCCCATGCTGTTCTCATGATAGTGAGTTCTCCCGATAGTGAGTTTTCACGAGATCTGATGGTTTTATAAACCAGTTTTCTCTGCTCTTGCTTGGCCCCCTCCTGCAGCCTTGTGAAGTAGGTGACTGCTTCCCCTTCTGCCATAATTGTAAGTTTTCTGAGGCCTCCTTTGCCATACAGAACTGTGAGTCAATTTAACCTCCTTTGTTTATAAATTAGCCAGTCTTGGGTAGTATCTTTATAATAGTGTAAAAATGGACTAATACAGTGACAAATAAGGTGTTGCAAGACTATCTTGTATTTTCCCTGCTTCATCCCTGAAATCCAAGTTCTTTAGTCAAAAATGCTGTTTAGAAACCAAGATCTGGGCTCTAGGAGTGCTAGAAGCCATTGAGTGTCATCACTCACATGTCCTCTTAATGGATAATCTAGTGTATGCCTATGTATGTATATGTGTATGCATGTTCATATGTATACACATATCACCTACATACATATGTCTGTTTATTTATCTATATATACATATATTGGAAAGCACAAATTTATACCAATACAAATCTAATATCATTGGTTAACTTTCATTTGCCCCCTTTCCTATTAACCTCAATTTAGGTACCTATTTGATTCTTCATTCATGATGTAATAGATTTCCTATCACAGCTGCCAACCCTCTGCATGGAAATTCTTCTTACTCCTTTCAGTCTCTGATACCTTATGCAAAGTCACTGTTGTTTCCCCAAATTTTCAACCCACACACACACAAGACACATTTGCCACATGGGCACCTACCTTACTCTGACCCATCAAATGGATTTGGGGACTAAATTATTCAGGAAGAATAAAAGGAAGGAGGGAATTAAAGAAGGTTGTTATTATAAATGTATATGACCCTGGGCTGCATAAAGCAAAAATTGAGAAATATTTAACCAAAGGCACTTCAGTTATTTTTTATTCTCATGAGCAAATGAGGACAGGTAGAAGCAGAGAGCTCTGGCTATGCTTTATCTCAGCCTTTACTTGTAGTTCAGTAGCTTGTGTCTAAGTAGCCCACCCTCCCCTGTGGAAGTGGGGGTGTGGATGGGGGGAGAAAACTGGAGAGAGAATTGCAGCATAGTACATTCAGTAGCATGTTTTCCGTAGTTTTTTGGTCATCCAAGGGCTTAAATCAGATGTATGTAGAGGAATATTTTTTCTCTAATCTATGAATTAACTTTGGGTTAAAGGGTCAGAACTTCACTGGCCTTTGTTTCTTAACTCAATTCTTTTTTATTTCTTCCACTGAAAAAATGCAGTCAGATGTATTGAGTATATCAGATTTGTGGAATGGAGATATATGATACAGATATTGCTAACTATAGCTAGTAATAGTTCAGCCAATAAAAATAGTAAAAATTTCATCTTTTTTTGGCCTAAAATTGTGACTGAATGTTTGTGGATTTCAAATTGATTATGCTTCAACTTTCTATTTTATTTTACAAAGGAATATATGTGCATGAAGTACAAAGAGAATATATCACCTATAATTCCGCTTCCCTGAAGGTCTTTAAAAACCTTTTGATTAATATCTTTTCTATATTATGCCAACATACAGACACATAAATGTAAGGTTTTTAATGAATTTTTTATCTCTTCTGTGTATTGTTCGACGAAGTGTCTTTTTAATTTAGCAACATAGTATGTCACCAAATATTAATTTACAAAAGGTTTTTTGTTGGCATAAAATTCCATTTTATACATTTGTCATTATTTATTTAACTAAATGACTTTTGGGAGCATTTATGTCATTCATTTCTTTTTTACAAATGTGTTACCATAAATATCTTAGTAAAACTTTTCTGTACCGTATTTTTTTCCAATAACCTCTTAAAACTTTGGTCAAGGCCGGGCGCGGTGGCTCACGCCTGTAATCCCAGCACTTTGGGAGGCCGAGGCGGGCGGATCACGAGGTCAGGAGATCGAGACCATCCTGGCTAACACGGTGAAACCCCGTCTCTACTAAAAATACAAAAAATTAGCCGGGCGTGGTGGTGGGCGCCTGTAATCCCAGCTACTCGGGAGGCTGAGGCAGGAGAATGGCATGAACCCAAGAGGCGGAGCTTGCAGTGAGCTGGGATAGCGCCACTGCAGTCCAGCTTGGGCGAAAGAGTGAGACTCCGTCTCAAAAAAAAAAAAAAAAAAAAAAAACTTTGGTCAAGATAAAAATTTTAAGTTCAAATTTCCCTTAGAAAATTTGAAATAACTCCATTTGCATCATGAGAGTATCCATGCATCCCTTCCTTTACTACCAGATCTTGAAAATACACAGTCTTTAAAATTTTGAGTTATCTTTACCAAATTGATAAATGAAAGTGGCGTACCATTTCAATATGCATTTTTGTTATAAGAGCACTAAATAATCTTTCAAATATTTAGTGACTATTTTTCTCCCTCTGGGAATTACTTATGTATATTAATTCACTAAGTACTGTTAAAGGCCTAATTAGCCAAAGACTACCAAGCGGAAATCTGAAGCTGAGGGAATCAGCTTTACTGACTTCATGCAGGAAGGGAGGGAACTCCAGAGGAACGACAGAATGTCACATGATGAGAGAGAGCAAGGGAAGCATCGATAAGGTTTTGGTTCTTGCTGAATGACTGCAGAATGTTTAAGGGAAGAGGGTATTAATTCTGGATTTATTGATGCTTCTAGACAAAACTGAAAGGATTCAAGTTTAACTAGGGATTGGGTGCTGTCATGAGGTGAAAGTATTTTAGCAATCAGATGTTCCCAGTAACAGATAAGAAAAACAAAGAGCTTCTGGGGGCATCATCGGCAAACAAACAGAAGTAACAAAAAGAAGAATTTGTTATGGTATTTTACAGTATGGTCTTCGGGAAATAATATTTTCCACTAATTTAGATCCTAGCTTTTTCTGTGTTCAACCTTTCGTCCAGCCTGATTAATGGCAAAGCAGCCTTTTCCTTTTCCAATTCCAGTTGATATTTATTTTTGCAGTCCCTGACAGAGTTTTATGCTTGATAGAATACAGCTAAGCAAAGTTTAAGCCATGTACATTATTGGATAAAGACACAGAATTTTCTATCACACATTCTTAAATTAGAGGTTTGGCATCTTCTTTTATTAATTGAATAACTTTAGACAAGGTATTTAATCACTTTATTTTTTGTGTCTGTTAAAAGGGGCTAGTAACAATAATTTAATAACTACCTTATAGGACAATTGAGAAAATTAAATGTAATTATTTATATAAAGCTCTTATCAAAATGTCTAACTTGATGTAACTGCTTAAAATAGAATAGCAACTGAAATGGTGTTTTCAATAAGAGTTTTACACGAGCTAATTGATGGAAACAATTAATGACAAGCACATGATTATGTGTGTGTACATATGAGAATTAAAGGACATCAGACTATGTGGAGGTTGTTAACACATATTTTATAATTTGACAAATTGTGGGGGAGTTTGGTTAATGAATCTTGGTATTTGGAAGGGAGAGAGGAGCAAAATTTTGTAGAGTTAGATGATATTATAGGCAGCACTCTCCTATTACCCTAGCATAGAAAAACTGAAGAGATCAGTGAGAAATAGGTCTAGATACTGCAGGCTACTAGGCTGCGGCCTCTATTACAGAAATAAGAACATGTTCATTTCCAGAATTTTCCTGGCAAAAGACTAAAGTTCTGTCTTCATGATTCTTGATGTAAATTAACTTGAAGGGTATGTTCAAAATAAAGAACAGTTAACTGTTTCGCAGAACAGATTAGTAAAATGCGAGGCAGAGATGTACAAGACATGAAGAAAACATGGTGGGGGGCAAGTGTTCAAATGCTAATCATCAAATTAGAAAAAAAGAAATATCTCAAAAAGAGGAGAACCATCATTCTATCATGAAAGGGAGGAGAAATAAGATGCCAAGTATATGTGGATTCAGAGAAAAAGTAACGAAGGCAGATGGATTAGAATTAAATACAATGAAATAGTTGATGTAAATGATACATGCACTTTGGTTGTTCTACAAATGCCAGTAAATCAGTCCACTGTTCGGGCTGTGATGTACAATGGTCTGGGGTGGTAAAGAAATTGTGTACTCTGTGCTGGGAATAATGTTACTAAATCCAGTCAATAAAATCAATGAGAGACCACATGAGGAGGTTCTAGACATTATTCTGCTATCCTTACAGCAGCTATTTCAGCTGCCACTCAACCACATGACCATGGGGAAGCGGTGGCCATGGGGAAGCAGTGGCCTTGATGTCTTAAATACTACAAATCACCGAGGAAACCAAGTTAATGGATGCAACAATCTACTCTCATCATGCAGCCAGAAGGACACATAGTATTGCTGCCAGCTGAGCATAACTTAGAAAATGTTAGAGAAACTGTGTATGAAGGAGAGGAAATGAATATAATTTAGATGTATTTACTCCTTTCTTCAATAATTAGACAATCATAGGAAAAAATACTTAAATGAAAACTATGCCATCAATGTGTGATATCAGCTCAACTTCACCCTGGACAAACCAGCTTATTAAAAAAAAAGACTATTTTTAAAAGGGAATAGGTCAACTTTGAGTCATTGGTGGAACTAAATTTAGCAGCTAAATTTAGCAACTAAACTAAACTAAATAAGCAACTAAACTTAACAGCTGCTCTAACAATGCTGTTCTTATATTATTGTAGGGGAAGGGCTGTGTTTTGGTTTTTAGCTCTAGCTTTATCCACTTTGTCTTATTTGACTTCTGTTTTTTGGTACAACCAGGCATGCTTTGAAAAGAAGAAAAACTAGTCTATGTTAAGTATGTCAGTAGAGGGGATGATAGCAATTCAGAATTAGTCTCCTTGTAAAAATTCTGGAACTGCCCTTTTGTTGTGAACAATTGTAACATTATACTATTTTGAGCATTTTTCCTCTGCCCTATCTGACCTTTTAGATACTTATACAAGCATTAATTGCCTTGAGCCGTCATGGAACAACTGTTCAACCCCTAATTAGAAATTTCTGCAAGTTTTCACCATGCTATTTTCAACTTATTTGTAGACCAGTGATAGGAAAAGATTCCTGGAGATTATCCAGGGAATATATGTGTAGGTGCGTATGTGTGTGTATGTATGCATATATGTTTTGTATACATATATTTAAAAGTTTAGCATAAATATGGAATAAATAAAATTCATTAACTTTCACTGTCAAAATTAACTGTCAAGCCAATTAAAATTATGTTAGACAAATGTTCTAATCTAAGAAGAAATTAATTTTATCTCAACAATGTTATGATATATTTAAACTTCCAAAACTTATTTGTTAGATTGTCACAAGATGCTGCTGCAACCTAAACCAAGTCATAATTTTAAAAATGTTATCTTTCTTAATGTAAAATCACAAACATTCATTTAGGTGTAAGACATCTGATTTAATTTTGGAAACATTGTAGCTTAATAAACAAAAAAAATTCAAATTATGCTGAACTTTTCAAATCATAAAAATGATGCAAGTTTTTTTCTTAAAAAAAAAATTCTTAGGAAAAAAAGGAGTCGTTTTGTCCCTTGAAATAATATAGAAGAAACCAAAACAAAAATATGGTGCAATAAGTGAAAATATATTTAGCTCATTGACTCCACTTTAATAAGTTTGCACATCAGGTTATTCAGATTATACATAAAAAATTGTCCTAACTTTCATTACAGGTTAGATAGTAAGAAGAGATTCCTCTATAGACACTTAACAGCTTCATGCTTATAATAATTAATTGTTAGTTTATTTTATCTGTATTCAATACTTTTTTAAAGCATAATAGAACAGAACTAAAAACTCTAAGAAAGCTATTGGTAACTCAACATTTATTTTTAAAAATTCATAACAAAGTTAATACAAAAATATTTTTATTATTTTAATGTAAAATATAACTGTGAGCTGGACAGAAATATAGATGACAGATTTTTCTTAGTCATTGTCAAATATAAACTCAACTCTGTATCATTTATGCTCTAAAACATACGATTTTTGCAGCTTCAACATTTGTATCTACCTTCTTATTGAGTCTAAAGTAATGGTTCGGGCAGGGCGCAGTGGCTCACGCCTGTAATCCCAGCCGTTTGGGAGGCCGAGGTGAGTGGATCACCTGAGGCCAGGAGTTCAAGACCAGGCTGGCCAACATGGTGAAACCCCATCTCTATTAATAATACAAAAAAATTAGTCCGGTGTAGTGATGCACACCTGTTATCACAGCTACTTGGGAGACTGAGGCAGGAGAATCGCTTGAACCTGGAAGGTAAAGGTTGCAGTGAGCTGCGATCGCACCATTGCATTCCAGCCTGGGTGACAAGAGCGAAGCTCCATCTCAAAATGAATGAATAAATAAATAAATAAATAAATAAAGTAAGAGTATCATTTGCAGTTTCTAGTGTGAACAAAGAGTAAATATTAAAAACCAGGATTTAATCAATACATGAAACAGCTGACAGCCAATAATTAATTTGCCCAATGTACACTGCTATCAAGTGACAAAAATGGGATTCAAGCTCAGATTTCTCTAACTCTAAAATTTTTCTCCACATCATTAGTTCCCATCATTTTTATTATGCAGATCTCTATATAACCATTAGAAATTGCATATAACAGTGTAAGATATTTTAGTGATTAAGAAGCTGGCATTGGCATTAGGTTCTCCGGATTTGGATTTCAACTCTTCCAGTCAATAGCTGCATGGCCTTAAATAAATTGTTTACACTCTCTATGATTTAGGTTTTCAATCTCAAAAAAAGAATAAATTAATAACCCTCGAAATATTTGTATGAATAAGGACTAGGTATGATAATTCATGCTAACACAACTAGTAGGCCAGGCTCATAGTTGGGAACCATTGCACTATACTTGCTATGTATTATTAAAATTCTTTATATTTTTATAGCAGGTGAAAATTATTGTCCCTTCCTTTTGCTGCAATGACATGGCTTTCTACTTAAATTTTTTTCTTTATTGACACTTTGCCTGAATATTCTCCTAATGGAAGCTACTTCTATTTTTGCCAGAGTTAACTTTACCCAACATGGCTTTTTCTTTAAACACATTAGAAAACTCTTTTTCACAGTGAATGATCTTACTTCCTGCAATTTATATTAGGCCTAGAAACAGGTACCCTTTTCTGTACTTGAGTGGAGATCAAAAGCTATTATAGTATACATAGTGCCACTAGAAAACTCCCTGTTAGCTGGTAATGCCTTGGGTTGTATTATTTCACAAAAGTTGAATATCTGTTCAAGTTCACACCAATCATAATAGTGACTTTTTTTTGAGAGACTAAGATCCATTTAGTTAAACCATGATAGTGTCTACTTTCTGTTCAATTTATCTTCAAAACTCCCATTTTATTTGAAATTGCCTGTGTGCATCGTTAAAGAAACACATTTATATTTATTCCTTAAGAACAAGTTGCAGAAAAGAAAGAACTATCTTGGATCTGGGATATTTCCCCATTAAAAGAAGAAATGATTTTGTTGCAATGACTTCTATAAACTATTCAGACTACTGAAGCTTAGAAAACATCTTAAAATGGATAAGTGTTTATAAGTAGAATGGAGAATCATAATTTCAACTGCATTCACCATCTTCTTAGCCATAAGAGACTTGCTTGGCTAATGCATCTGTGCTAAAAGAATCTCTATCATATTGAATTTTGCTCACATATCTTAAGCACGTGTGAAACAATGATTCCAAGGTACACTTCTCAGATATATAGAAAGCTATGTTAGTATAATCATGAGATTGATAAAAAAAAACACATGGTTCCAAAATTAGTCATAAGGACAATTGTATTACCAGAAACACTTAAGGACCAGCCTTTTCTATGAATGCTGTAACAGAAATTTTATACATATTTTAGTAACTAACATTTAAACATAAGTTCACATTAAATTCTTTTGGAAGCAATAATAACAAAATCAAGAAACACCGAACATTGTAATGAAAGCAAAAACTATTCTGTTTCATTGTCACTAAATATGCTTGCCTTTGATTTTCCAGTGTAACTGAAAATAGTACTTAAAAACAAATTAAAATAATGAACTCAAAGGTTTTCTTCTTCAAATCATGACATTTGTGCCATTTAAATTTATCTTTTTTAAGGTTTGTTGACATGACACCCAAAGAATCAATATTTATAGAACTAAAAGGGTTGGGAAACCTACCTTCTACTCTAACTTCTACTACAGGGACATAAATGTACTGAGTGAGTTTAGCTTCCTCAAGCCTCTGTTCTCTTTTCATAAAATGAGAGATTTGGGCCAGATATTTTCTAAAAACGACGTTTTGCAATAACAGTTTGATTTTCAACCACTAGCCAATTTTTACTAAGCAATGATTGAAGTAAAAAGAGACCTTTCTTTATATCAGACATAGTTACTTGAATTTGATTTGGTTATGATAATGCATCATAGTTGTTAACCATGTCCACAGCTGAAACTTCAGATGTTCCACGACTATATCGTGAAACATTATTAGATTAAAGTCAAATTAGGCTAGTTCTTGCCTGGCAAAGACTGAATATAGTCAATGGGATTGTTGTAGTAGAATGAGTCTTGTTAATGATATATGGCCAAACTGTTTGACTAGGGCCCTTAAGTTAGCGCATTACCCAAATACTTTGGTTTCTTTCTTTTTTTTTTTTTTTTTTTTTCTTAGATAGAGTCTTGCTTTATTACCCAGGCTGGAGTGCAGTGGTGTGATCTCAGCTCATTCCAAACTCCACTTCCTGGACTCAAGCAATTCTCCTGTCTCAGCCTCCTGAGTAGCTAGGATTACAGGCGTGTGCCATCACACCTGGCTAATTTTTTGTATTTTTTTTTAGTGGATACGGGGTTTCACCATGTTGGCCACGCTGGTCTCAAACTCCTGACCTCAGGTGATCCGCTCACCTCAGCCTCCCAAAGTGCTGGGATTACAGACATGAGCCACCACGCCCGACCTGGTTTCTTTAATTCTACTGACTGACTTATCTCCAAGTTCAAACCCTAGAAGAAAACCTAGGCATTACCATTCAGGACATAGGCATGGGTAAGGCCTTCATATCTAAAACACCAAAAGCAATGGCAACAAAAGCCAAAATTGACAAATGGGATCTAATTAAACTAAAGAGCTTCTGCACAGCAAAAGAAACTACCATCAGAGTGAACAGGCAACCTACAAAATGGGAGAAAATTTTCACAACCTACTCATCTGACAAAGGGCTAATACCCAGAATCTACAATGAACTCAAAACAAATGTACAAGAAAAAAACAAACAACCCCATCAAAAAGTGGGCAAAGGACATGAACAGACACTTCTCAAAAGAAGACATTTATGCAGCCAAAAAACACATGAAAAAATGCTCACCATCACTGGCCATCAGAGAAATGCAAATCAAAACCACAATGAGATATCATCTCACACCAGTTAGAATGGCGATCATTAAAAAGTCAGGAAACAACAGGTGCTGGAGAGGATGTGGAGAAATAGGAACACTTTTACACTGTTGGTGGGACTGTAAACTAGTTCAACCATTGTGGAAGTCAGTGTGGTGATTCCTCAGGGATCTAGAACTAGAAATACCATTTGACCCAGCCATCCCATTACTGGGTATATACCCAAAGGACTATAAATCATGCTGCTATAAAGACACATGCACACGTATGTTGATTGCGGCACTATTCACAATAGCAAAGACTTGGAACCAACCCAAATGTCCAACAATGATGGACTGGATTAAGAAAATGTGGCACATATACACCATGGAATACTATGCAGCCATAAAAAATGATGAGTTCATGTCCTTTGTAGGGACATGGATGAAATTGGAAATCATGATTCTCAGTAAACTATCGCAAGAACAAAAAACCAAACACCACATATTCTCACTCACAGGTGGGAATTGAACAATGAGAACACATGGACACAGGAAGGGGAACATCACACTCTGGGGACTGTTGTGGGGTGGCGGGAGGCGGGAGGGATAGCTTTAGGAGATATACCTAATGCTAAATGACGAGTTAATGGGTGCAGCACGCCAGCATGGCACATGTATACATATGTAACTAACCTGCACATTGTGCACATGTACCCTAAAACTTAAAGTATAATAATAATAAAATTAAATTAAATTAAAAAGGCAAAGAATGAACAGTATCTCTAGAGAACTAGCAAAGTAAAGATTCTTGCTGTAAAATTCTCTCTTGTCGTTGTTGTAATTGGTCAAAATTTGTTATGGAAAGTCCATTCAATCCTGCGTAATCACGTAATCACTTTTTGTCAACTTCCATCTCTCTTTGTCTCTTATATTTCTTTATCAACAATCACGTATGTGTAGAATTGGGGATTAAGGAGAGAGAAGATGAAGTCCTCACCTTGACAAGTTTTAATCTGGCTGACAAGATAATTGTTAAACTAGTTTGCAATCAGGGATTTCACATAAGAACATTTAAGAATATCATCAATACACTAAGCATTCCCATCTAACTGATTTTTTAATCACAACATTCTAAATATATGTGCATAATCAGTCCATACTTGGTGTAATTCGGTGTCCACACAGTGATGAGTTTGCCAGAAGGAGTTATTACTCGCTTTCCAGAAAAAGAAAAAGCCATCTTAAATTTAGTTTTGGTGGAATGTCCTCAGTAAATTTGTATTTTCATGGAGTTTTTGTGTAGAAACTAATGATGTTTATTCTTTTGTCAAACAAATATTCATCGAGTAGAAAACACAAATTTTATCCTAGACATTATGCTAAGTATTGAGTATTGAGCACAGTTCTCCCTCATAAGCATGGATTTAATATGCTGCCTCTCTGCTACACAACTGGCCAGTTTTGAGGGCCAGTTGCCCATTTTGATGATGACCAATAGTCTCTAAATTTGAACTTAATCTCCTGAATGAAGCTAGTATCTTATTCACCAACCACCTTGTGGTTTTGGTGTCTTGCAAATAATATATGATACAGCATAGATGGAAAAATTAGTACCTGGGTCCATTAATGCCCTTACTGAGAGCACTTCAGAAAGCCCAGATTGTTGGGGCTTAAAGAGGAAAACAGGAGACTAAATAGAATTTTCTGTGAGCCTGAAGGAAAGACTTATATGATTGAAAAAACTGAGACGTACTTGCCTCTAGGGAGGCGGTACTGCTTAAATAAGTAAGGCAGCACAAATGTGCTGGAAATGTGAGGTGTCTGGAATATGAGAGTCCAAACAGTGAGAAACATGTCAGAGTTTCATGGTTGTGGGATGCTTTATTGTCCTCCACTTCTCTCTTAAACATTCTATTAAGTAAAGAGTTCACTACAGAGAGGATTTATGATGCTGGGTCTTATTCAGATAAACTATGGCTCAGGTAAACCATAACTTTTCTTGAGGAGCTGCACCAGTACAACTCAGCATCCACTGGATGTTCTCAAACTACTCTAACTTGATGAATTATTCAAATCATAGAGAAATTATACAGCTCTAACAAATGACTCCCTAATTCTTAGAAAGTTCTCAAAATCACTCTTAAAAAAATGAAATGATAAATTTGATCTACACTAACATGCTGCCATTTCTAATTTGGCTTATTTTTTAAATTCCATAAATTGTCAGAATTGGGTGCATAAAACCTGATGGAACTTTTTAGGCAAATACTATATTTTTTCAATGTTACTAAACTTTATATCACCATGTTTATTGCATACAAATAACCCAATGCACAATCCTATACAGTTTTATTACTCGGTCTTGACCATTATTTTACTTTAATTTTAATTAGTGAGTAATTCGTTTTAATGTCACATGCTACTCTTTAAAATTTTTGAATAAGACATGTACAAGACAAAAATTGTGGGGATGTGTGTGTGTCTGTGTGTGTGTGTTGCTGGCAAAATTTTTTCTCCTTCTAATCCCTTTCCCTATCCTCCTATCCTCCCAGTTCCCATTCCATAGCACTCCCCACAACATCCCCTCATCCACAAATAAACACTGTTATTACATTTTTATATCCTTCCAAACATTTTTATACATGAACAAGTTAAGTAGCAATACATATTAGCTTTTATTTTTTTTTTCTCCAGCAGAGTAGCACACTCACTCTGCACTGTGCCTTGCTTTGTTTTTCACTTCAAACATACATTTTGAAGATGTTGTCATACATTACTTAAGGGCTTCCTTGGCCTTCATCCATTATTTTAACATTTAAAAAATGTCATTTGTCATAGTTCTTATTTCAAACCATTCTTGGAGATAGGAGCGATATGAATGATTGTGGGTGCAAGTGCTGCAGAAGGTCCCCAAACCAGCCATAACATCATTGTTATTTGTATGTGTTTAAATATGGAACTTACTAAGGTGTGATTAGCTATTTCCTGTTTGAAATCTTCAGGAGAGATCCCATAATCAGTTACTTATTTTTTAAGTTTAAATCAGAAGCGAAAGCTTCTCATATGATGTTCACGAAATCCATTGCGTTACTGAAGACTGGGTCATCTCAGAAGTTAAAAAGTAACCCAGCTGGAATTCCTCTACATGAAATATTTCTCAAAGATAAGCAGTCAGAGATCACTATACCTCACCACAACAACAGGCATGCTGTGCAAGTTGTGGCCCCTCAAGATTTCCCTGCCAGGAAGTTCTAAGTTGACTTTGAAACCAGTGATTTATTAACACTGGAGAGTGGAAGTAGAAACTCTTGCCTTCTAACACTATCTCTACTCTGTGGCAAAAGTCACTTCACGTGCAACATTCTTCATTTCATTAATGTGAAAGGAAATTGCATCTACATTCCAAAGAGCTCTCCCCTCTTATTCTTAAATGAATGTAGCCTTGTAAGCATATTAGACTAATATTTCAAATTTTCATATTTGACACTGAAACTGCTAATGTGTCCTATTAACAGAGTCAAATGAATATAACAACTCTTTTGGTAAAGTGTAAACAAATGCTAACTTTGGAGATTATTGAAGTATAGAGGGCTGGGCCTGTCACTACTTTCAGAATGCCACATTCTGAACACTTTCCCTGGACACTTTCCTCTGTTCTAGTGGCTACTGTTGATCTTTGGTCTTACCTCTTTTCTGTCAGTAATGATGCTTCTCATCTCTATAACTCCTGTTTCCTGCCTCTACCTCCACTTCAGCAGTTCAATGCTCTATTTCATTTTCTGGGCACTAGGGTTTATTTTTCTTTACTTCTTGTCTCTTTTTTCCTGTGCTTCCTGATTTTGGAAAAGGCAGGTCTTGGTACTAACAGTGAGCTTGGCTGCAGTGACAGTTACTAGTGCTCTTTGACAAAATTTCCAGTTCTCCCCATTCTAAGCATTTGGTAGATCTTTTTGGGCTTGGGTGAGGTCAAGTAACTAATTCTGGTCAATGTGTTGTGGACAGAAGTATGTGTCACTTCCTGGATGAATACTCAATGGCCTGTGTGAGGCATAGGACATTTTCTCTTCTCCTCTGTCATAAGAATTGCAAATGTTCAAGACAGTGGCTGACTGAGGCCTAGAGTGATGACAGGAGGGAATCCTCCCTTACCAACCCAATATGGTTATAAGGTATGAGCAAGAAATAACTGTTTCTTTGTTTGTTTTTTTGTTTTAAACCACTGAGATTTGAAAGTGTTTCTTACCATGGCCTAACCTAATACGTAACCTATTCTATTAAGCCACTGAGAATGTTTCTTCCTTCTTGATGGTAAATGAACAACACATGATAGTTTCTGGGTATATTACATAGTTATAGGGGAAGGTAAGGAGGGGCTACTCTTCTAGTGCTAGAGTGTTGGCATATTTGTACCCTACTTCCAAGTTCAAAACTTTTAGGGAGTTTGAGGACAACATCAGTCTGAAAGCTGAATTGATGACAAAGCAGGAGAGCCCAATTAGGGACAGAGAAGATGATGCCATACAGAGCTAATGTTGGGACACTTAGCCTTGTTAAGATAATGTTAGGAAGGCCTATACAGCAGTCTTCCTAATGTAGACAGCATATCGTAGAGTAAGAGGTTACTCAAGACACCATCTAGCATAAGAAGGAACACCAACTGCAGTGCCAGGTGCCTCTGGCTGACAAGCAGAGCAGAGCCAGGAGAGCCAGGATTCCTTGGGTAGCGGAAGAAAACAGGACTGAGTCATACATCTGGCTTTTGTGCACAAGCTGTCATTCCTGGAGGACTGGCAAAGACAAAAGGATTCCAAACCTGGGGGCACTGTACTGTGTTAGTAATCAAGAGAGACGCCTGGACTAAGATGTCAAAAGCACAATCCTGATTTAAGACTTGGGTATTAGGAAAGACTTAACCAGAGAAATAAGGCACAGACTCAGTTATTGAGATGAGATTAGACCAACAACATTCCTGAAAATATTGAGTGATTATTAAGTTTCTTAGACCTTTCCTATCTATGTTCAGAATTAAATCTTGATATTGGAGTGGACTTGATCATGCAACTAAAGGTCAAGTTGTCCCAACCTTAGAAACAGGAGGCGTGCTGAGCAAAGTAGATCTGGAACAACTGTACAATTTGAATAATGATTGTTTTCTTCTATCTCTGATTTGTTTTCTGCTTTGCCCTTACTGGTCATCATATGAATAAACAAAATTGCTGGAAGTGGATAGCAAAGTAAGGACGAATAGAGGAGATCAATAGTTTGACCAGAACTTCACTTATGTATCCCATATGGAGAGTGAACACATTAGGGTTCCCTCCAACCCTACATGCTTCTTTTTTAGCACCTGTTCCTGACTGACGCACAGACATGGCATTGCACAGAATAATGTCTTAACATATTTGTTACTATATCTCTTCATCTTTATCACTGTATATTTTTCTATTTCTATTTTTCTCACTTCTCAATTTATTTTAGGAAAACTTTCTGTTATGTTTTTAATTCACCCAACTTCCAGACCAGTTGTTCATTTTGTTTTTCAGTCTTGGCTTTCAGATCTGGTGCTCAGTAGTTTGTTCCCAAATATGACCTTGCTTGTCTTTCAATCAAATTTAGTATATCACTCCTACCCCGAGTTGTATGGCATCAGGCTGCCTCAGAGTTTATCTGGACTCATGAACCTTCACTTCAGTGCTACGCTAACGTGGCCATCTGGCTTGACCCAGCTTTTAAAATAGGATTCGGACAGGCTCCATGGCAATAAATGTGACTATGCCTGCTATAAAGGAAGCACCCTAATGCTTCATAGAATCTAAAGATGTTTCTTGGGCATAATCTTCCTATTCAAAAGACAATGTTTTCCAATGTAATGCAAGTCATTTGGGCAATTAACTTATGTATTTTATGCAAATATAGAAAAATAAAAATTTATTTTGAAGAGAATGTAGAGAAAAAGAAAAAAGAAACCTTTTGCTCAACAAAATAGCACTTTTATCAGATGAAACAAACATAGCTATATGCAACATGCTATGTTTTAAAATAATTTTTGAATGAAAGTCTGGAAGTCTCTACTACAAACATAATTTTGCCTCTGAATTGCTTTCAACCTGGACAAAAATTATATAAATTCTGTATTCTGAAAGAAGAAAAATGAAACAAGAAAATCCAGACTAGATGAACTCTAAAGTCACTTTTAATATATGATTATAATTATTATTTTAAGAGAGATTTTTCAGGTTGCAGCATCTGATTTGTTTTAAGAATTAATGAGAAATTTGCAATTGTATTTTATTTTAGGATTACCATACAGAAATATTCTGTAGCTAATCATGTGAACTTCCATATTTTAAGAACAATAATTTATTGAGTTTCTTTTGCACCAACCGCTTGCTAAGAATTTACTCATGTGGTCTCATTTAATGCTCCCTATAGCCCTATATTAGTTTGCAAGGGCTGCCATAACAAAGTATTACAGACTAGATGAATTAAACAACAGTAATTTATTTGCTCACAGTTCTGGAGGCTAGAATCAGGGTGTCAGCAAGGTTGATTCCCTTTGAGGGCCATGAGGAAAGGATCTGTTCCAGGTCTCTTTCCTTGGCTTGTAAATTGCTGTCTTCCTCTGTCTCTTCACGTTGTCTTCCCTTGGTGTCTAAATTTCTTCTTATAAGGACACTAGACATACTGGATTAGGGCACATCCTAATGCTCTCGTTTCAACCAAACCACCTGTGTAGAAACCTTGTCTCCAAACATAGTCACTGTCTAAGGTGTTTGGGCTTAGGATTTTAGCATATAAATTTTTTTTTGAAAGGAGTGCAATTCATCCTTTAATGAACATCATGAGATACTTACTAGTATTTTCCCTATTTGAAAAATAAAGAAACTGAATAATTAGGATAATTTCTCTTGGATCACACAGCTAGTAAATAAATTTGAATAATCAAGTCCATTTAACTCACAGTCATCTGCTCTTAAATATTAGTCATTCTTGCTTTCAGAGAATTACAGTTATAAGGGATTGAAAGCTGCAATTCCTAAGTCTATAGTCACAGAAGGAGGTTATTTTAAGAGTTCAAAAAGTCTTCAGTGGAAATCAAGTACATGTTAATTATCAGAGGAAGAGGAAAAAAGAATACAATGCGTGTTAACTTTCAAGAGATAGATATTTGGCCTTAAACTATGTAATTACTTATAAAATATGTTTGATCATTTTTCAGATGATAAAAATAATGCGTATCTATTGTAGTACTTACATAATATTAAAATGTATAAAGAACAAAAGTTATAATCACACACAATTCCATCCTTTATATCTAAATATTGTTATTATTTTTCTTTGTGGCATTTTAAGTAAATATATACTAATATATAGTTTTAAAACCTGCTTTTTTCACTTAAAAATATAATATATACTTTTTTGCAGTTCTCTATTCTTTAACATCATTAAATTTTTCTGTAACTTTATATTGAAATAATTTCAGATATACAGAAAAGTTGCAAAAATACTGCAAAGAACTCTGGTTTACCCTTCACCCAGTTTTCTCGGTTGTTACTATTTAACTACATTTGTCTTCTTATTGCTGCCTTTCTGTGAATGTGGTTGTGTGTGTATATGTTTCCCAACAACAAGGACATTGAATTACGTAGCCATATTATAATTATGAAAATGAAGAAGTTAGTATTGATACAGTACAATTATTTAATATTTAGATTGTATTAAAATTTTACCAGCTCTCCCAATAATGTCAATTATAGCAAAAGAAGAAATTCTGCTGAAGGATTCCATTCAAGTTTATATATTTTATTCATTTCTCCCTAGCCTTTAATTATTTAAACTTTACTAGCTATTTAGTCTGTATTTATATTTTATGGCTTTGATATTCTTGACCTATTTAAGCCAGTTATCTTGTAGAATGCTACTCCCAGTTTTGGTTGGATATATTTCCTCATAATTGTATTTAGCTTTTGTGTTTTGAACAGGAATACTAAATGATATCTTGTTCTCTTCAGTATAGTCTATCAGGAGGTACATAATATTGGTTAACCTTATTGCTTACAATATTAAATTTGATTACTTTATTAAAACAGTATCTGCCAAGTTTCTTCACAGAAAAAAATATACCATGTGACATTGACAAACACAGACAAATAAAACAAAATAAAGGTCTAGAAACTGCCCTACATATATATGATGAGTTTTTGACAAAGATTCCAGACAATCCAATGGAGAATTTTTTTCAATTACTGTGCTAAAAATTACAAAACCTTGTGAAAAAAATATTAGCATCATCCTTGATTTCATAACATATACAAAAATATTTCAAAATATATTTTATACTTAACTGTATGAGCTATAATTATAAAATGTCTAGAAGAAAGCATAAAGAAAATTTAGTGAGTTTAGATTTGGCAAACATTTTTTAAATGAGACATTACAATTTCAAAGTGAAAACAAAATATCTTTAAGTTAAATTTCATTCAAGTTAAAACTTTTGCTATTGAAAAGAGACTGTTTACAAAAATGAGACAGCAAACTATAGATAAGAAGCAAATTTTTGCAAAATATATATCTGACAAAGCACTTGCATTCAGAATATTTATGATATACACAACACTCTTATAACACAATAATGAGAGATTAAACTAAATTTTTAAAATATTTGAACAGCTATTTCAATAAGGAGGCATACAGATGTCAAATAAGCAAATGAAATGATGATTACCGTTATTAGTCATTAGAAAGACCAAATTAAAACTACAATAAGATGTCACTGCACTCTAAATTCAAAATTTAAAAGATTGTACCAAGTTTTGGAAAGGATGTGGAGGAACTAGAACACTTATACAATGTGGTAGAAAAGTAGAATGGTATCACTTTGAAAAAGTTTGGCATTTTCTTAAAACAATAAGCATACACACACCACAGAGTTCAGCTATTCCACAGTCTATATTTCACCAAGAGGAATGAAAGCACACATCTATTTAAAGACTTGTAAATAAATGCTCATAGGTATGTAATTTATAGTAGCCCAAAACTGGAAACAACCCATATGTCTATTAATATGTAAGCAAATAAGCACATTTTGGTGTATCCATACAATGGGATGTTACACAGGAATAGATAGAAATGATATCTTGATACCTGCAGCAACATGGATATAATAATTATGCTGAGAAATAGAAGCCAGAACCAACCTCCCCAAAAAGTGTATTTCTAAGGGTCCATGTAGAAAATTAATAAACATTTAAACTAATTTATAATTACAGAGGTCAGGTCATTGGTTGCATGGGGACAGGAATGATGAGAGCAAGGGAAAAAGAAGGAGGGATTAAAGAGAGACACGAGAAGATTTTTGGAAATAAGGGATATGCTCATTATAAGATCTTGTTATTTTACATCCACTAGTTTTTCAGCTTCATGAAAGTATAATTGAGAAATAATAAGCCACACATAGTTAAACTGAACACCATTTAGTTTTCACAGTTATATCTCAGTTAAACTTTCATAAAGCTGAAAAAATTAGAGATTCTAAAATAACAAGAAATCCTTCTAAAAAGTTCTAAACAATTTACATAAAATTTAAATTTTACAAATAAATATGCATTAATTAAAATATATTAAAGAAAAGAAATTAATAGGAAAAGAGAGAGGAGAAAGAATCCCAAGGAGATAATATGGCAAGTACAAAGTCTCTAGAGTAGAAGCCAACTTTTTAGTAACCAAAAGAAAATGAATGTGGCTAAAATGTTATAAGAGGTAGTAGTAGAGACTGGAATCAGATGAGGTTGGAGAGGCCAGCAAATACCTATTCCTGCAGGGTTGTATGAGCCTCTTTAAGTTTTTTATTCCACATTAAACGCAAAGGGATACCATTAAAGGACTTAAATAGCAAGGTACACTCGAAATTGTAAAAGATTACTCTTGCTTGTAAGGGGAAAATAACTTAGAGGAGGACTATATTAGATGCCAGGTGATCAGTTTGAAGGCTCTTTGAGTAACCCAGGTGAGAAAGAATGGTGGTTTACTCTGGGGTAGTGGCAGTGGAAATGGAAGTAAGTAGAGAGTCTCCTTATAACTTGAAGGCAAAAATGATAGTACATGGGTCAGATGTAAGGGAATAAGGATGAGAGATGTGAAAAGAAGTTTTCCAGTTTACCATCCTGAGAATGTGAAAAAATGGAGTGCCAAACAGTAAGCTACAAAAATCAGCAGAATTTCTATACACCAATAATGCTCAAGCTCAATGCCAAATCAAAAAAAAAAATGCAATCCCATTTAAAATAGACACACACACACACACACACACACACACACACACACACAATACCTATAAATACAGCTAGCCAATGAGGTGAAAGATCTCTACAAGAAAAACTACAAAACACTGCTTAAAGAAAACATAGATGACACAAACAAATGGAAAAACATTTTATGCTCATGGGCTGGAAGAATTAATATGGTTAAAATGGCCATGTGGTGCAAAGCAATCTACAGATGCAATGCTACCAATGCAATTTTTTGCAGAATTAGAAAACACTAATCTAAAATTTATATGGTACTGAAAAGGAGCCTAAGCAAAAAGAACAAAGTCAGAAGTATGACATTCTCAACTTCAAACTATACTACAAGGCTACAGTAACTAAAACAGCATGGTACTGGTACAAGAACAGACACATAGACCAATGAAACAGAATAATAATCCTGAAATAAGGCTGCACACCTGAAACTATCTGATCTTTGACAAAGATGACAAAAATAAGTAATGGGGAAAGAACTCCCTGTTCAATAAACAGTGCTAGAATAACTGGCTAGTCATAGGCAGAAGAAAGAAACAGGACCCCTATCTCACTACACACAAAAATTAACTCAAAATGGTTTAAAGATTTAAATGCAAGATCTCAGACTATAAAAATCCTAGCAGAAAACCTAGGAAATACCATTTTTTACAGTCTTAGCCTTTGCTTTATGGCTAAGTCCTCAAAAGCAATTGCAACAAAAACAAATATGGACAAGTGGAATCTAATT
This sequence comes from Homo sapiens, assembly GCF_000001405.40. Taxonomy (NCBI): domain Eukaryota; kingdom Metazoa; phylum Chordata; class Mammalia; order Primates; family Hominidae; genus Homo; species Homo sapiens. Next base: position 110,337,278 of record NC_000003.12, on the reverse strand, counting down.
AAACTAAAGAGTTCCAGCACAGCAAAATAAACTACCAACAGAGTAAACAGACAAACTACAGAATGGGAAATAATATTCACAAATGACACCTCCAACAAAGGTCTAATATCCAGGATCTATAGGGAACTTAAATAACTCAACAAACAAAAAATAAATAACCCCATTAGAAAGTCAGCAAAAGATGAACAGGCACTTATGAAAAGAAAACTTGTATGTTGGCCATACAAGTGGCCAACAAACATATGAAACAATGTTCAGTATCACAAATCATCAGAGAGATGCAAATCAAAACCACAATGAGATATTATCTCACACCAGTCAGATGGATATTATTAAAAAGTCAAAAATCAACAGATGCTGGCAAGGCTGTAAAGAAAAGGGAACTCTTATACACTCTTGGTGGAAATGTAAATTAGTTCAGTCATTGTGGAAAGCAGTTTGGAAATTTCTCAAAAAACTTGAAGCAGAACTACCATTCAACCCAGCAATTCCATTAGTGAATATATACCTAAGGGAAAACAAATGAATTGTTTTACCAAAAAGACACATGCGGTTTATATGTTCACTGCAGCACCATTCACAATAGCAAGGACATGGAGTCAACCTAGGTACCCATCCACAGTACACTGGAAAAAGAATCTGATACATATGCACCATGGAATACTACACAGCTATAAAAAATGAGATCATATTCTTTGCAGCAACATGGATGCATCTGGAGGCAATTATCCTAAGCAAATTAACCCCAGATCAGAAAACCAAATACCACATGTTACCTTTTATAAGTGGAAGCTAAACACTGGGTACTGATACAGATTATCTGTGTTTCCACTCAAAATCTTATCTTGAATTGTAATAATCCCCACATGTCAAGGGCAGGACCAGGTAGAGATAATTTAAATCCTGGGGGTGATTTTCCCCATACTGGTCTCGTGATAGTGATCTGATGGTTTTATAAGGGGCTTCCCACTTCACTTGGCTCTCATTCTCCCTCCTGCCGCCGTATGAAGAAGGATGTGTTTGCTTCTCCTTTCACCATAGTTGCAAGTTTCCTGAGGTTTCCCCAGCCATGCTGAACTGTGAGTCAATTAGACCTCTTTCTTTGTAAATTACCCAGTCTGGGTATGTCTTTATTAACAGCATGGGAATATACTAATACAGGTACTCACTGACATAAAAATAGCCACAATAAACATGGGGAGACGGGGAAGGGGTGAAGCCTGAAAAATTGCCTATTGGGCACCATGGTCACTACCTGGGTAATGGGATCACTGACACCCATATCATACAACCTGCACATATACTGAGTGTCACACAATATACCCTTGTAACAAACCTGCACATGTACTCCCGGAACCTCAAATAAAAGTTAAAAGTATTTTAAAACATGGTATTGGAGAAGAAATTTGTAAGAGAAATTTCAAAAGTCATTTTGAACATAATGAATTTGACATATCTGTAAGATATCTAAGTGAAATTGATGCAAAGGTAAATGGATTTATAAAACTATGTTTCCTAAAGCATGATCTCTATTGAAGACATAAATATGTACATAATTGGGGTACATAACCTCTGATTATTTCCTTAGTCCACATACCTTAAAAATTGAAATTCTCTGTAAGTATTTTTGGGAATATTACTATTTTATTTTATAAATACTTTATGCATAAAAAGTACATTTTAGAAAACTTACACATTCTATATAATCCCTAGGAACATAAAGTACTATTTGTAGCTGTGTAAAAGAATATCTGCCCTACAAGACCTTTGTCAGGGTGTTTATACATATTTTAATTATATTTTTTCTTTACTTAAACGAATTGAGTGATTTTATTTCATATGAATTTAAAGAAACAAGATTAACTAGAGATCAACATAGGATCGTCATTGCCTAATGTATTTTTAATTGCTTTACTTCTGATCAACCACTTTAACAATGGTCTCTGTAGAATATTCGACTCTACACAAACTGGAAATTCTATGGTCCAGAGAAATGACAGTAAAGATCAGCCTAGCTTCTGATCTTGGTAATTCCAAAAGGTTTACTTAAACATATTCGATTATATATTATAAGCAAACTAGCATAGTTTTGGTCATACTAAAGTGGCCACTAAAGAAATGTAGGCAACTTTTCTTAATGGGGATATAGGTAGGACCTAGAATTGAGAAACTCATTTACCTCTGGCACACAAATTCATGATAAAAGTTTAGAAAATCAATTTTTAACTGTCTCCTTCATAAGTCATCTGACAAAGATGCATATGAGAAGAAAAATTCAGATAAAAAGGACAAACGAAGCCAAATTAGATAAATGAAGCCAAATTAGATTAATATCTGTAGACTACAGCCTTTATAAAATAATTCCAGAGAGATTTATTTTCCATTCACCATTCTACTAAAGATTTCCCTATGAAAGACCATTTCTAGAGGACTTTTGATTCAATTGGAATAGAGATGGCTTTTGGATACCATTATTTATAGAACATGACCAATTTTAAAGCCAACTTTTCTGTATTAAAAGTATAATCAACCTGCAAAGATATTCTTTTTTCTCAGAGGGAGAGTGGGACAGACCAATATTTTCTCTATTTATTTCCTTATAAGGAAATTCTGGAACAACTGCAGCTAAGGAAATATCTTCCTTTCAGTAAGCAGGTCATGCATTTGGTAAGCAGAGATTGGAATTAATTAATGTGACAATAAAAACCATTTTCTATTTTTGTTGCTACTGCAATGCAAGTGCTAAAACATGAAAATGAGTAAACACTGTTTTTTCTTATTTAGTCATACTTTCTTATCAAGTTCATGTTCAAGGGATAGGACTACGTGTGTATATGGGTTTACATGCAATGTGGTAAACTGCCTCCATGCAGTTATAGATTAAATCTAAGAGCTACATTGAAGGGAAATATTTACAATGGAGAATGGTTGAGAAATATATCCAGAGTACATGGATTCAATTCAGTAGTAGGAAATATGTGTAAATCAAGTGAAAGTCATCATCACGGATGAGAAAACAAGACACATGTAAAGATCACTGTTTTCATATTCAGGCATGGTTTTGAATCTTTTTCTAGTCTCAGTTGTCTCATATATTTAAAGGGATTAAAACAGTACCTAATTTAGGGGGAATCTGTGAACATTAAGCTTACATAAAAATACTTAGTCCAGTGCCTAGAATATGTTAAGTGCTTAATGTATATTTCTCGGGTTTTATTTTTTACTTTTATTTTAGTATCAGAGGCACATGTGAAGGTTTGTTACATATGTAAATTTGTGTCACAGGCGTTTGTTGTACAGATTGCATCACCCAGGTGTTAGGCTTAGTATGCAATAGTTTTCTTTTATATTTATTTCCCTCTTCCCACCCTCCACTCTGAAGTAGACTCCAGTGTCTATTGTTTTCTTCTTTGTGTTCGTAAGTGATGCAGTTTGGCTGTGTCCCCACCCAAATCTTATCTTGAATTTCCACTTGGGAGGTAAGTGAATCATGGGGGCAGGTCCTTCCCATGCTGTTCTTGTGATAGTAAGTCTCATGAGATCTGATGGTTAGTTTAAGGGGGAGTTTTCCTGCACAAGCTCTCTCTTTTTTTGCTACCATCCATGTATGATGTGATTTGCTTCTTCTTGTCTTCTGCCATGATTGTGAGGCTTCCCCAGCCACGTGGAACTGTAAGTCCAATTAAACCTCTTTCTTCTGTAAATTGCCCCATCTCAGGTATGTCTTTATCTGCAGCAATGGACTAATAGAGTAAATTGGTACCAGTAGAGTGGGGCACTGCTAAAAAGATACCCAAAAATGTGGAAATGACTTTGGAACTTGGTAACAGGTGGGAGCTGGAACAGTTTGGAGGGCTCAGAAGATAGGAAAATGTGGGAAAGTTTGGAACTTTCTAGAGACTTGTTGAATGGCCTTGACCAAAAGCCTTATAGTGATATGAACAATAAGGTGCAGGCTGAGGTGGTCTCAGATGGAGAGGAGGAATTTTGGGAAGTGGAGAAAAGGTGATTCTTGTTATGTTTTAGCAAAGAGACTAGTGAGATTTTGCCCCGTCCTAGAGATCTGTGGAACTTTGAACTCAAGAGAGATGATTTAGGGTATCTGTCGGAAGAAATTTATAAGCAGCAAAGCATTCAAGTAGTGACTTGGGTGCTGTGAAGACATTCAGTTTTATAAGGAAAGCAGAGCATACAGGTTTGGAAAAGTTGCAGCCTGAAAGTGTGATAGAAAAGAAAAACCCATTTTCTGAGCAGAAATTCAAGCTGGTTGCAGAAATTTGCATAAGTAATGAGAAGCCAAATGATAATCCCCAAAGGAATGAGGAAAACGTCTCCAGGGCATGTCAGGAGGTCTTCACAGCAGCTCCTCCCATCACAGGGCCAGGAGGCTTAGGATAAAATGGTTTTGTGGGCTGGGCCCAGGGTTCCCATGCTGTGTTCAGTCTAGGAACTTGATGCCCTGTGTCCCAGCCACGCCAGCCATGACCAAAAGGGGCCAAGCAAGGTACAGCCTGGGCTGTTGCTTCAAAGGGTGGAACCCCCAAGCCTTGGCAGCTTCCATGTGGTGTTGAGACTGTGGGTGCACAGAAGGCAAGAATAGAGGTTTAGGAACCTCCGCCTAGATTTCAGAGGATGTATGGAAACACCTTGGATGTTCAGGCAAAAGTTTGCTGCAGGGGCAGGGCCCTCATGGAGAACGTCTGCTAGGGCCGTGCAGAAGGATAATGTGGGATTGGAGCCCACACACAGAGTCCCTACTGGGGCACCACCTAGTGGAGCTGTGAGAAGAGGACCACCGTCCTTCAGACCCCAGAATGGTAGATCAATGGACAGCTTGCGCTGTGCACCTGGAAAATCCACAGACACTCAACACCAACCCATGAAAGCAGCGAGAAGTGGGGGGATATACCCTGCAAAGCCACAGAGGCAGAGTTGCCCAACACCATGGGAACCGACCTCTTGCATCAGCGTGACCTGGATGTGAGACATGGAGTCAAAGGAGATTATTTTGCAGCTTTAAGATTTGACTGCCCTGCTGGATTTCACACTTGCATGGGGCCTGTAAGTCCTTTCATTTTCGCCAATGTCTCCCATTTCAAATGGCTGTATTTATCCAGTGCCTGTTCTCTTATTGTATCTAGGAAGTAACTAACTTACTTTTGATTTTACAGGCTCATGTGTGGAAGGGACTGACCTTGTCTCAGATGAGACTTTGGACTATGGACTTTTGAGTTAATGCTGAAATGAGTTAAGATTTTGGGGGACTGTTGGAAAGGCATGATTGGTTTTGAAATGTTAGAACATGAGATTTGGGAGGGCCAGGGGCAGAATTATATGGTTTGTCTGTGTCCCCACCCAAATTTCATCTTAAATTCCAATATGTTGTTGGAGGGACCCCATGGGAGGTAATTGAATCACAAAGGCTGAACTTTCCTGTGCTGTTCTCGTGATAGTGAGTAAGTCTCACAAGACCTGATAGTTATTATAAAGGGGAGCTTTCCTGCAAAATCTCTCTTTGCTTGCTGCCATCCATGTAAGACGTGACTTGCTCCTCCTTGCCTTTCACCATGATTGTGAGGCTTCCCCAGCCATGTGGAACTGTAAGTCCAATTAAACCTCTTTCTTTTGTAAATTGCCCAGTCTCAGGTATGTCTTTATCAACAGCATGAAAATGGTCTAATACAATAAGTTCTCATATTTTAGCTTCCATGTATAAATAAGAACATACAGTATTTGGTTTTCTATTCCTGCATTAGTTTGCTAAGTATAGTGGCTTCCAGCTCCATCCTTGCTTCCACAAAAAATATGATCTCAATTTTTAATGGCTGCATAGTGTTCTTTGGTGTATATGTACTACATTTTCTTCATCCAGTCTGTCATTCATGGGCATTTAGGTTGATTCCATATCTTTGCTTTTGTGAAGAGGACTGCAGTGAACATTCACATGCATGTGTCTTCATAGTAGAATGATTTATATTCCTCTGGACATATACCCAGTAATGGGATTGCTGGGTCAAATGGTAGTTCTGCTTTTAGCTCTTTGAGAAATCACCACAATGCTTTCCACAATGGTTGAACTAATTTATACTCCAGCCAAAAGTGTATAAGTGTTCCCTTTTCTCCACAATCTCTCCAGCATCCGTTATTTTTTGACTTTTTAGCAATAGCCATCTGACAAGTGTGAGATGGTGTCGCATTTCTCTAGTAACCACTGATATTGAGCTTTTTTTCACGTGCTTGTTGGCTGCATATATGTCTACTTTTAAAAAGTGTCTGTTTATGTTTTTTCCGTATTTCAATGGAGTTGTTTATTTTTCTCTTCTACATTGGTTTAAGTTTCTTATAGGTGCAATATATCAGGCCTTTGTCAGATGCATAGTTTGCAAAATGTTTCTCCCTCTGTGTAGGTTGTCTGTTTACACTGTTGGTAGTTTCTTTTTGCTGCGCAGAAGCTCTTAAGTTTAATTACATCCCAGTTGTCAATTTTAGCTTTTTTTGTGATTGTGTTTGGTATCTTTGTCATGAAATCTTTGCCCGTACCTATGTGCAGGATGGTATTGCCTAGGTTATCTTCCAGGGTTTTTATAGTTTTGGGTTTCACATTTAAGTCTTCAGCCATTTTAAGTTAATTTTTTATAAGGTGTAAGGAAGGTCCCGCTTTAATCTTCTGCATATGGCTAGCCAGTTATCCCAGCACAATTTATTAAATAAGGATTCATTCTTCCATTGCTTGTTTTTGTCAGCTTTGTCAAAGATCATATGGTTGTAGGTGTGCAGCCTTATTTCTGGGCTCTCTATTCGGTTCCACTGGTCTATGTACCTGTTTTTGTACCAGTACCATCTTGTTTTGGTTGCTATAGACCTGTAATATAGTTTGAAGTCAAGTAATGTGATCCCTCCAGCTTTATTCTTTTTGGTTAGGATTGCCTTGTTAGCTCTCCAGGCTCTTTTTTGGTACCATATGAATTTTAAAATAGCCTTTTCTAGTTCTATTAAGAATGGCAGAGGGACTAAATAGTTTGTGTAAAATAGAAGCTAACAGGTCTGACAGAGCTGAATAACACGATGCAAGAATTTCACAATGGAATCACAAGTATTAACAGCAGAATAAGCCAAGTTGAGGAAAGAATCTCTCAAATAAGACAGTCAGACAAAAATGAAGAAAAAATAATAAAAAGGAACGGACAAAACCTCCAAAATGTATGGGTGTATTCATCATTCTCACAGTGCTATAAAGAACTACCAGAGACTGGGTAATTTATGAAAAGAGGTTTAATTGACTCACAGTTCCACATGGCTGGGGTGGCCTCAGGAAACTTATCTCCAGTCATGGAGGAAGGCAAAGGGGGAAGCAAAGCATATCTTCCCATGGTGGAGCAGGAGAGAAAAAGCAAAAAGGGAAGTGCCACACACTTCCAAACAAACATGTCTCCTGAGAACTCATTCACTATCATGAGAACAGCAAGGGGGAAGTCCACCACCCTGATTCAATTACCTCCTACCAGGCCCTTCCCTTGACACATGGGGATTACAATTCAAGATGAGATTTGGGTGGGGAAACAGAGCCAGACCATATTATACTGCCCCTGCACTTCCAAAATTTTATATCTTTCTCAAATTTCAAAATGCAGTCATGCCTTCCCAACAGTCCCCTAAAGTCTTAACTCATTCCAGCGTTAACACAAAAGTCCAAGTCTAAAATCTCATCTTACACAAGGCAAGTCCCTTCTGCCTACGAGCCTGTAAAATAAAAAACAAGTTAGTTACTTCCAATATACAATGGGGGTACCTGCATTGGATAAATGTTCTCACTCCAAAGGGGAGACATTGGTCAAAACAAAGGCACTACAGGCCCCAAGAAGGTCTGAAAATTAGCAGGGCAGTCATTAAAATTTAAAGCTCTGAAATGAGCACTTTTGTCTCCATGTCTCATATTGAGGGCACGCTGATGCAAGGGGTGGGCTCCCAAAGCCTTGGGCAACTCTGTGTCTCTGGCTTTGCAGGGTACAGCCCTCATGGCTACTTTCAGTGGCTGGCATTAAGTGCCTGCAGCTTTTCCAGGCACACAGTGTGAGGTGTTGGTGGATTTACCATTCTGGGGTCTAGAGGACAGTGGCCCTCTTCTCACAGCTCTCCCATGGGGACTCTGTGCTGGGGCTCCAACCCCACATTTCCCCTCTGCACTGCCCTAGTAGACGTTCTCCATGGGGGCTCTTCTCCTGCAGCAGACTTCTGCCTGGGCATCCAGGTGTTTCCATACATCCTCTGAAATCTAGATGGAGGCTTTCAAACCTCAACTCTTGCCTTCTGCACACCCGAAGGCCCAACACCACATGAAAGCCACCAATCCATAGGGCATACACCCTCTGAAGCAATGGCCCTAGCTGTACCTTGGCCACTTCTAGCCATGTCTGGGACACAGGGTGCCATGTCCCAGGGGCCCTAAGCCTGGCCCACAAAACCATTTTTTCCTCCTGAGCTTCTAGGCTTGTGATGGAAGGGCCTGCCAGGAAGTTCTCTCACATGCTCTGAAGACATTTTTCCCATCGTCGTGGCTATTAACATTTGGCTTATTTTTACTTATACAAATTTCTACAGCTGGCTTGAATTTCCCCCCAGAAAATGGGTTTTTCTTTTCTACCACATGGTCAGGTTGAAAATTTTCCAAACTTTTATGCTCTGCTTCTCTTTTAAACATAAATTCTAATTTCAGACTATTTCTTTGTGAATGCAAATGACTATACACTGATAGGAACAGCCAGGCCAAATACTGAATGCTTTACTGCTTAGAAATTTCTTCTTCCAGATACCCTAAATCATCTCTCTTAAGTTCAAAGTTCCACAGATGTCTAGAAGAGGGACAGAATACTTCCAGTCTCTTTGCTTAAGCATAACAAAACTGACCTTACTCCGGTTCCCAGTAAGTTCCTCATCTCCATCTGAGATCACCTCAGCCTGGATTTCATTTTTCATACCACTATCAGCATTTTGCCCAAAACCATTCAACAAGTTTCTAGGAAGTTCCAAACTTTCCAACATCTTCCTGTCATCTTCTGAACTCTTCAAAGTGTTCCAGCCTCTACCCATTACCCAGTTCCAAAGCTGCTTCCACATTTTCAGGCATCTTGATAACAATGCCCTATCTTTCCTGGTACCAATTTTCTGTATTAGTCATTTTCACACTGCTATAAAGAATTGCCTGTGACTGAACAATTTATGAAGAAAATAAGTTTAACTGACTCACAGTTCCACAGGCTTATAACAGGAAGTATGACTGGGAGGCCTCAGGAAAGTTACAATCATGGCAGTACGCAAAGGGTAATAAAGGACCTTCTTCACATGGTGGCAAGAGAGACAGAGAGGGAAGGGGGAAGGGACACACACTTTCAAACAAATAGATCGCATGAGAACTCACCCATTATCATGAGAACATCAAGGGGGATGTCCAACCAGGATTCAATCACCTCTTACCAGGCCCCTCCCTTGACACGTGAAGATGACAATTCGAGATGAGATTTGGGTGAGGACACAGAGCCATACCATATTAATGGGATTATGTAAAGAGGCCAAATCTACAAATCACTGGCATCCCTGAAAGAGAGAATGAGAAAGCAAACAACTTGGAAAACATATTTTAGGATATCATACATGGCAACTTCTTCAAGCTTGCTAGAGAGCCCAGCAATCAAATTCAGGAAATACAGAGAACTGCTGCAAGATTCTACACAAGAAGATCATCCCTAAGATACCTAATCATCAGATTTTCTAATGTTGAAATGAAAAAAAAATGTTAAAGCCAGCTAGAAAGAAAGAGCAGGTCACCTACATAGGGAATCCTATCAGGCTAACAAACAGATCTCTCAGATGAAACCCTACAAGTCAGAAGAGATTTGGGGCCTATATTCAACATTCTTAAAGAAAAAAATCTTCAACTAATCTTGTTTTTATTGAGTTTAGGCTTTTAAATGTATTTTGGTAAAACACAAAGAATTTTGCATACACCTTATTGTCATCTATTCACTGGAATTATTAAAATAGTTTAATTAGGTATACTCTGTGCTAGGTGCAGTGTTAACTACCCATGATTGAAAGATGACTTTGACATTGTCCCTGCCCTCAAAGAGCTCTCAACTTGGTAAGCTAATTTGAACTTTTATAAATACTCTTAGTCCTCAGCACACAATTTAACATTTCATCATATATAGCTTTGGATTGTTGGTTATTATTTTCTGTCTATTCTATTAGATTCTTTTCTATTCTATAAGATTTTGTCTATCCAACTACAAGAATACAATTAGAGCAATAAGAGTATCTTCATTTCATTGACCTCAGCTCCTCATTTAACATAGAAGGAAGCTGAGGTCTTGGACTATATGGGAAGAGGCCCACAGAGAGGAAGGGACAGCTCTAATTTCACACAATGACAAACTCAAAGCCATAGCTCAGGTCTCCATGCTCCTCTCCAAGACTTTTTCATTACACATACTAGATAATAAACTCTTAAGAGCATGGATTTGTCCTGCACTCTGTGGCACTTTCTACAGAATAGGTTTCATCTGTTCTGACAGTTTTAGGGCATTGTTTAGGTATTCCAAAACCTGTCTGTGTGGCCAATTGAGAATAATGTTATAATCTGTATTGTATGCAAGTTGCACTAATCTCTGAGGACAAATGAGGTCTCATTAAAGTAATTAAAAAAATAATGGCTATTAGCTCCCTATCTCCTGATGAAAGACCTTAGTCCATTCTTGTTCATCCCTTAACAACTGACTCGGAGCACCCCATAGAAATACATCGCAGGCCACACGTGTTCTCGGTTCTTCACCAGGATATCTTTCTTCAGGTATTTTTCAAGGAATGCTCTTCCATGTGTCATGGCTGTATCTCCATGCCTGCCCGCTCCTAATGCACTGAGGTCTGCGGTGGGAGGTATGAGTGTGGTTTTGAGGGTGAAGCTCGTGTTGTGGTACTGCTGTTAACATGGTGAAATCTCCCCCTCACCAAAGGAGAGCCCTCAAGTGGCACATCCTAACGGAAGTAGATTCTCCCAGCATTTTATGAACAAATCTTATTCAGCTGCTAGATATTTACCTCTAATTTCTTTAGAGCTTCCAATTAGTCACTCAAACCTGGTAAAGTAAGATAGAGGAAGGTGGTGAGGATGAGGGAAAACTCAGCTTTCCTTCCTCTCCCTTCTGTTGCCCCTGTGTGGGGTGGGGTGAAATACAGCAAAACCAAAAATAAACAGCTTCTTTCTTTCTTTAGTTAAACAACCAAACAAAACCCTCCAGGGATATCAACTTATGTAATAGATGTTCACAGTGGTTATTGGCCACGAGTTTCATAAACGAACAGAAAATACTGATTTTTTTTTAAGAAACATGCTGCTCAACTTGTTTCACACAGAAAAAAAATTAAAACCTAGAGAGGCAAAATAACTTTCTCCCACATAATGAAATAAGTTGGTACTGTGCTGGGATTAGCACCCAGAATTAGGTCTGTGCCAACTGCCACTTCTAACAGCGGAGGGGTATACAACTGTCTCACTATATTAAAAAACAACAATTAAAAATCTTGCCTCTCTGAATAAAGTTAATAAAAGTTTTCTATTATGAATGCATGTGATATGTCATGTGATGAGTGACATATAAATACATACATATATATATATATATATATATATATATATATTCAAAGTTAGTTCTTTATACTTGAAATGAGCCTCCACAGTGAGTTTCTTGATGTTGATATTAACACCTTTTATGTGGGTACCACCCCCCAAAACAGAAAAGGATATTAATATTTCCTTATCTTTCATACAAATAGAACACCTTGAAACAAATCCTGTATCTCAGAATCTTTAGGACATCTCAGCTCTAGGCTAAAACTGTGAGAGAACAAATAGATCTTTATTTCTAACTTTCTTTGAAAACTGCTTTTGCTCTGTCCTTGCATCCATAATACATGTGATACTTCCAAACGAAATACACTATTTATGTATAAGATAGATAAGCCAACTTCAAGAAGCTCACTGAATATATTTTCAAACTTTTTGTAGTTGTTGCTGTTAATGAAGCTGACTGAATTTGCAAAGTAACTCAATCCAGGTTTTGCATGGAAACAAGGTCATTGTCTTCATTACTTTGCTAAAATAACTTGCTGTGATAGATGGGCAAACCGTGATCCTGTGCTTAATTTTCTTTTTAAAATTCTGACAGATCCTCTCTTCTTGGTCAATCAGTTTTCTTATTTTGTAGCCTGTCTGATGCTTTAATAAAAGAGATCTCTCTTTTGTTTTAAAACAATGGCTGCAAAATATCTTTGTTTTTTACTGAGGTTAATTCTCAAACTAGTGGACGATGTTCTGATGGCCACAATGGTCTGTCTCCAAATAATCAAAATAGTTCTTTTATCTTTTAGTTTCTTTCTGTTTCTTCTTCAGAATCCGTCAAAAAACATGAACTGACAATACTCATTATGTTGCTTCAAATCGTCAAAGGCAGTTTGTCCTATACTAGCATAAACTAAAATATATGGCTAAGCTGTAGTGAGATTCAATATTTAGCATTCAAATGATTTTCGCAAATCAAAGGGAAGTATCACACTCAAAATCTCTTTGATATCTGTAAAGAGCATGGGAAGTTTCTTTACTGTTTTTTTCTTTTTGCTCAACACTTTAAATTCTTAAATTTTTCAAATATGTTTAATGACTTGCCTTTTAACGGATAAGCATTTTAAATGATGAACATATACAGGAAGCTCATGCCACTTTTAAATCCTTTCAAGTCCCGGGGGTATCACCATAGTAACTTGAGAGTACATTATGATTTTTAAACAAAAGCAAAGTGTCTTTTTTCAAATTCCCTCTTATGGTAAAGAGCTGCAGGGTAAGTGAGGCACAGAAATGGAGTGTGCTTGGCTTAGGTTCTGATGACTCTGGCTCCTGGAGATGTTAAAAATTCCATATGCACTGCCCTTGAGTGTTTGGCTAATCATAGAAAAATCAGAGTGAACTTCTTTGAGAATTATTAATGTATTTATTTTTGAACATTTAAAACATAGTAAAAATGTATGAATATTTATACAGAAATTGTCCTGGTATTAAATATTTGAGTAACTTAGAAACACACAGACACACACACACACACACACACACATATATATATAAAAAACATTAAAAATTTAAAACATTTGTATTGTGAATATTTGTTTTATTAGTAGGAAATATGTTTTAAAATTCTATACTCTAAATCTTATAACCGATATTCAAGATACAGTTCCTTTCTTCCTTATTCTTCATTAGATATGTAAGATATTAATAATATTAACTTACAATTCTTCATGATTTTAACATTTCAAAACATCCATGTTCTGAGATATTTTTGTATATATTCTAGAATGTTTCTGGCTCTCCTTCTTAAGATGTCCAGAACTAGAGGTATATGCCAGCTGCAAAATGATATAAGTCTGAAAGCTTTTGAAGACAATAATTCTTTTACGAAAGATACAGAAATCATTCTTTGTGAAGCAAGAATAAAATCATGCCCTTTATTCATTGTCAATGGACCTGTTCCTCCAGAATGCATTACTATCTTTTATCTAATAGCCTATTACAGACTGCAGAGCATGTAAAAGCAGTGATATTGCTCAGGGTCTAGAGATTTCATTTTTTTATTTCAATGCCATTATTAAATAACCCCTTAGATGGGAATTCAATACTGGCATGCTACATGATAAGCTATGTTAATAGCTCGTGTTATGCAAGAATTGAGCAATTATTTGAAACTTAATAGCAGGCCTGTGAAAATTTGTAATTGGACAGATTTCCATCCACTGTAATGTTATGTAGTTACCTTAGTGTTAGCAGATTAGGATGTGGTCTTTTGAAAAAAGCTCATGAAACAAGGCCAGGTTACTAAAGAGGGGATTTCTTTTATCCAGCTCTTTTGGGATGAAGTGGATAGAAACACTTGTGCTCTGTTTGAACAGAAGTTGTAGTGCTAGAATGAGATTTGCATAGCAGAAACTTGACAATTTTTAAGTTCTTTAGTTTTATACATATATGTGTCCCCAAGAAAGCAGGTTTTTTTTTTTAACAAAAAAAAGAGAGTCTTTGTAAAATGAAGAATGTTTTAAAATGTAAACACATAGTAAATAGGAAGGTTAATTTAAATTTGTTCACTGTTGCAGAAAAATAATATAAGGAATCAGAAATGAAGAAGGAAAAATAATCACCAGATGGTAGATTAGGTGTAATTATAATTAATGACGATGATGTTATTATATTCAGAAAGAAGTGATACAGGGAAACCACAGTGGCAAGAAAGAGTAATCATGAAAATTGTAAAACCTTGGCTGATCAGCAGGAGTCACATAGTTCTGTACTCCTTGAGTTGAAATAGATGGATCTTATAGCATTTCATAATTTAGTAATACTATCCTTTATTGTATACCAGTAAAAACAAGCAAAACCCTATCTAATAAATCACTGATCTAAAAATTAAATCAGAGATGGGATTTTGAAGTGGCTTTAACTTGAAATTCTAAGTATTTAAAGCAAAAGAAAATAAGGCAATGAACAAGAAAATTTATACGCTGGGAATGAGGAAAAAATGGAAAAGGAAATAATTTGTTATGGGGTATAAATTCATGGCTCCTGTATATGCATGTGGTAGCTGAATAAATGATGTCCCTGATATGGTTTGGCTGTGTCCCCATCTAAATCTCATCTTGAATTCCCACGTGTTGTGGGAGGGACCCAGTAGGAGGTAATTGAATCGTGGGGGCAGGTCTTTCCCATGCTGTTCTCATGATAGTGAATAAGTCTCACAAGATCTGATGGTTTCATTAGAGAGAGTTTCTCTGCACAAGCTCTCTCTTCGCTTGCTGCTATCCATGTAAGACGTGACTTGGTCCTCCTTGCCTTCAGTCATGATTGTGAGGCTTCCCCAGCCATGTGGAACTGTAAGTCCATTAAACCATTTTCTTCTATAAATTACGCAGTCTCGGGTATGCCTTTATCTGCAACGTGAAGACGAACTAATACACCTCCCCTTCCAATAATGTTTAAGTCCTAATCCTCAGAATCTGTAAATATGTTGTCTTACATGGTAAAAGAGAATTTGCAGATATAATTAATGATCTTGAGATAGGAAGATTATTCAGAATTATCTGGGTCAGCCAATGTATTATAATCACAAGCATCCTTATAAGAGGGAGACAGAAAGATCAAAACTGGAGAGAGACAATGTAAACACAGAAGTAGAGGTCAGAGAAAAGAGAAGATGCAACCCAGCTGGGTTTTAAAATTGAGGAGGGTCTGCGAGCCAGGGAACATAGTCAGGGTCCAGAAGCTGCAAAAGGCAAGAGACTGGATTCTCCCCTAGGGTCTGCACAACGAATGCAGGCCTGCCAACACCTTGATTTTCACCCACTGACACTGATTTGGACTTCTGATCTCCAGAACTGTAAGGTAATAATTCTTTGTTGTTTTAAGCAACTAAGTTGCTTGTAATTTGTTATAACACTAATAGAAATCAAATATAATGCAGGATCTCTGTATACTAAGAAGGTATACTATATGCTGTGTATATAATATTAGATTATAATATGAAGTTACTAAGCCTTGTGTCTTTGTAGTTGCAGTATATCTCCCTTAGAAGTCTTTATACCTGTTGCAAGGATGTAATCTATCTATCCTAATTCTTAGAAAGTGCCTTTCTTCTTTCTTCCTTTCTCAGCTTTCTGGTTAAAATATGCATATACATTCTTCCCAGGCATCATGGGCATGGAAACACGTCTATAGTCATGGCAATTTTAATTACTCAGATTTCACTGGCCCTTGTCTCTACTTTGGAAAGGCTCCACCTCCAAAATGATCCTGGGAGTATCCAGAGGTTGCTTTACATTTGCTTAAAAAACAACCCATTTCTGGGGGATTACACTGCTTTCTGGACACTGCAGTACTCCAAAGGGTATCTCCACCAGATTTTGTTGTGCTAGTGTATCCTCTTCTCTGTTACAAATACCACCTCATCCCCAAAACATTGTCACAATTCACAGGTAAATTTTTGAGGAATCAATTAATAGCTCTCCATTCTTAGTACTCTACTCTGCTAAATGAATTCCAGGCAGTGATCCCAATATCTGATAGTTTTTAGTGACACAGTTGTTTCATGTTTTATTTAGGTCCCCTCTGTTATCCATGGGATCCCAAAGTGAATCCAAATGGGAGATACCTGGGAAATCATTTGAATGTAGATGCCAGGCTGTCATCAGAATTGTCCCCTTGCCTTGACAACGAAGCGCTTGTATTCATTCTCTTTTCTCCATCTAGGAAGTCACGGCCAGCTTTGGCTGTTGCTTGAAGTTTCTGAAATCTCCTGAAAATCAACTCACAGGAGGTTTCCTCCACCTGTTCACCAGTGATGACATATTGCTTCTTGGACTTGGCATGGTTTCATGGTGACCTTCATTTTTATGCTTGTCTAAGCCTAATTTCTTTTTTTTTTTTTTTTTTTTGAGACGGAGTCCTGCTCTGTCGCCCAGGCTGGAGTGAAGCGGCGTGATTTCGGCTCACTGCAAGCTCCGCCTCCCGGGCTCACGCCATTCTCCTGCCTCAGCCTCCCGAGTAGCTGGGACTACAGGAACCCGCCACCACGCGTGGCTAATTTTTTGTATTTTTAGTAGAGACAGTGTTTCACTGTGTTAGCCAGGATGGTCTCGATCTCCTGACCTCGTGATCCTCCTGCCTTGGCCTCCCAAAGTGCTGGGATTACAGGCGTGAGCCACCACGCCCGGCCGCCTAAGCCTGATATTTTTAATGACCAAGGAGGGACTGTTTAGCATGCTTCCTCACGGTGTCAAGCCATGATTAAAACACTGATCTACTTGAAAAGATTGCTAGGTAAATAGTTCTTTGTCTGAAAAATAGAATCTATTTTAAGTCCTCAATTAGAGGTTTTGTTGTCACAATATAAAGGATCCAATCCACCTGTGAATGTTGTTTGCAAAGTTGTTGTCACCTGCAGGAATTGTAAGAAGTGTTTATTCACCCCAACAGGCGAGGTGGATTTAAGATCTGCCCTGATTAGGTGGAGCCTCAGTAAATAGCTAGAAATGCTGTGGCCATGGTGGTTGGTAAATGAGGAGTGCCATCAGTGCTTTCCATCCCTGTGACTGAGTAATGGGCTCATTAAAAATGATAATTTCAACTTTGAACTAATAATTGAACAATTTTAACTAATAATTCGAGCTTTATATCATTGTTCAAATGTGTTGTTAAAACCTGAAAACAAACAATAGTGATTCCACCCTTTACTCAAGAAATTTCTATCTGCTCAGCAAGAACATGATCCTCTGATAACAGCTCTGCCTTCATATCATTACTCTGTTGATGCGTAACAAATTTACCCTAATATGAACATTTTAAAACAACAAAACATTTTTATCTCACACAGTTTCTGAAGGCCAGGAATCTGGGAGCAGCATAGCTGGATGATTCTGAGTTTCCCCTGAACTTGTAATAAACTTGTTTCCTGGGGCACCACTCACCTGAAGAGATGACTGGGGATAGGGGGTCGGTTTCCAAACTCACTCCCATGGCCGTCGGCAGGAGACTACATTTCCTTGCCAATTGAGCCTCTTCTTTTGGCTGTTCCTGACTTGGCAGCTGGCTTCCAACAAAGTAGGAGAGGGATAGAGAGAAAAACTCATACTAGTACTTCCACTCATTACATTTATTAGAAGCAAATTACTAAGTCCAGCCCATAGGCAAACAGGAAAAACTTATATAAGGACATGATTACCAGGAGATAGTGACCCTTGGGGGCCATCTTGGGTGATGCTACCAGTCACCAATTTGCTGACTTTAACTTGAACAAAGCACTATGCCTCTTGGATCCTTTGGTTTCTCTTGTTACAATTTTAGAGATTTTACTATATAATGCTTTCTATATCTATCTGAGCTCTTAAAAGTGATAATACACTAAAGAATGATTAGATACTAGAGAACTTAGATAGAAACATCCTCAGTGAGTGGCAGAGTTTAACTTTATTATCTACAACCCAGTTTCCCAATGTGACTGTTAATATTTTTTTACATCTGAGACATCCTTCAAAGATATTTTATTACAATGATCACTAGCAACTGTAATTGTAATTAATTAGCATAGACTATTTTGGCATTCACTATTTAAGGATCATTTCTGAGATTTCCTCATCTTACCACTAAGGAAATTAATTAAGATCCAGAATGTTTCCTATGTTGTTTCCAGTCACAAGGCTAATTATTGAAGTTTATCTTTATAAAATATCTTATGCAATATGACTAGTTTTGCTAAAGAAACAAAATAAATAACATGTATTCAGAACTTACTATATATCTAGCACTCTTCTAAGTGCTTTTAATTCTCCTAACAATCCTAGCGAGGTAAAACCAAAATGATATGCTTTGATTACATATATATAACACACTGGCACAGTCAGGATTTGATACCACGCAGTCAGGCTCCAAACCATAGGCTCTCAACCTCTATTCTGCTTGCATAGAGGGGCGACAGAACTTACACATGATTCAAAACAAATTTGGGGAAAAGACCAGGATGAGGATGCCACTTACTTGTACAATCACATACCCTGGGAATTGTAATCATGGCAGGGGTTGTAGTGGTTCCACAATGGCTCGACACTTCTTTAAGCCTATTCACACTCAAAATCTTCAAGAAAATAAAGATAAAGAGGCTCAGTGCATGAAATCTAATTTAGCATTTTGAGTACATCAGACATGCTTAAACTCCAGGAAGTCCATGTGAACCCCAGTTTCTTAGTTTCATGTCAAACTCAGTAATTTTACGTTCCAAAAGCACCAGGTTTTCCTGTTGCTGTAGTGCCTGTTAAATATGATGATCTCATCTTTTGTCCACCCATGTTAGGAGGAAGCTGTGGGATAAAATGAAATGGTAGCTAGGTATGAGCTGACAAACACTATTCTCAGTAAATACCAATTATTTCTCTTGTTTTTGTTTTCAGAGTGAATCACATGCTAGAGATTCCCTGGAATAGCTTATGATGAGGTACACAGGATGACTAAAACTTCTCTTAAGGCTTTTTTCCAGTATTTGATCTATTTTGTTGCTATACTCAACAATTCACAGAAAATTCTGGGTATATTTGCTGGCTGCTTCCGTGAAAACAGCATGGAAAACATAGCTATTATCTAATGCTTTGAAGAAATAGCCATTTGAGTTAGAATTCAACACTGAACATTTTTGTCAATTTTGACATTTAAAACAAATTAATACAAGAAGTAGCATAATTTTTTGTATTGAGTATGATTGACCAGATGAAATACAGAAAATCCAGTTAAATTTGAATTTCAGATATACCACAAATAAAATATTTAGCATAAAATGTTTGGGATATACCTATACTAAAAAGTAGTCATTGCCTATCTAAAATTCAAATTTAACTGGCATTTGTATTTTTACTTTCTAAATCTGGAAATTTTAATTTTGAGGCTTCAAGAAGAATTGAGAATGTTCTTGCCCATTATGGTTTTTGGGTCTGCTGGTCTCATTCCTTAGGACTCCACTTTAAACTATAAACTAAGTAACAGCTGGCCCTCCATATCTTATGAGAAGAAGCAGAGACTTTGAGATTAGACGGTCCTAGTTCCACCCTAGCTCTGTTGTTTACTATATGCATGATCAGAGGCAAAGTACTTGAGGTGTCTATATTTCATTTTTCATACTGGAATTACAGGGATGACGACACCCACCTCAGACTATTCTTCTGAGGATCTAATGTATCTAAAGTTCTTGAAGTTTTCGTGTATAACAGCCCCGGAATAGGTTTTCATTACTGCTTCTGTCTTTCTTGTTGCTGTAAAATAATATGTGGCTTGAATTCTTTAAGCCTTCCTGCATATGAGTATAAATGATATTAAATTAACAATTAATTTCATCAGTTGTTTCCTTACCTGAGTAATAGTTTTGACCCAGTCTCTGGATTTTTTTCTATACAGTTTTGGAAATCTCAGGGTTTGTCTCGCATATTCTTGTAAATGCTTCTTCATATTTTCCAATTCCAGCTTAGTTTTTTACCTGCTGATTATGAAGCATTTTAACAAGAATCATTACCTTCTGTCTCTGCAGCTTCTAATATCCTTGAGGCTGTCAATATTTTTACACAGAGTATTAATCCCTTATTCTTCCAAAGGTGTAAAGGCTTGGTGAGGTACAAAAGTATACTACATTTACTCCATGCTCAGTACACCAGGACCAAACCATATTCTGATATTAGTGGGACAATTCTGCTCTGCCTCTTATCATTTGGGGTATGTGAAGGGCTGTTGTTTTGGTTCTCATATTTCAGAGTTTTTCTTGTAAAATAACAATTTGTGGGGCCCAAACCTCCTCACATAAGCCTATTTTCCTTCCTTCCTTCTTTCCTTCCTTCCTTCCTTCCTTCCTTCTTTCCTTCCCTCCCTCCCCTCCCCTCCCCTCCCCCTCAGTTCCTTCCTCCCTCCCTTCCTTCCTTCCTCCCTTCCTCCCTCCCTTCCTTCCTTCCTTCCGTCCTTCCTTCCATCCTTCCTTCCTATAAAGATGAAGTCTGGAAAATACTGAGTTACCCTGAAGATAAGAAGATTAACGAACAGAGGAAAACAAAACACATAGCAAGCTATTCTTTCCATCCAGAATACACTGTACATTTACCTATAACCACTTTACTCATTCAGTATTCAATGGATTCAATGTAGAAGTCAATGTAGATGTAGAATGAAAGCTAGGCAAAAGAAGCTCAAAAAGTTTATCAAAATTGCATAGTATTTACCAGAAGGAAATTAGACAAATTACTGTACAAATTTAAAACTGCATAGAAGAACTTGGAGGGAATATTATGCAATAATTATGGTTTCTTTTTGGTTCATTTTTATGTGAACAGTAGTGTCTGTAAGTTCTGCTTTTGGTGTAAAGTTATCCAGATCCTTTGTCTATAAAGTAACAGGACTTAATGACATGGTATGCTGGGAAATGCCAGAACTAAGAATCAAAGCAATTTTTATTTTAGTTATATAAAATCCAAGGTGTGACAATGGCAAAAGCATCAAACTGTGTATCAACCAAGCGGAACTGCTTGAAGACTTCCCAATGTAGCTGACTGCTTCTTGCTACTGTACAATTTCCTGCAAAGCTCTTTTTTCTTTGTCTTCATAAAATGTTCTTATTCTTCCCAGGAACCATCATTCTTCTGCCTAAGTGTCCCTTGTCTTTCTCACTCAGAAACAACATTTTTACAGCCTATGCTCCCTGCAAATATTTCTTCAATTGCATATGCCACTTGCTATTTTAATTATTTTTTTTTTGCATGTCTCTCTCATCTCCTTGGAGGTAGGAGCCATATGCTATTCATCTCTGTGTTACCAATGTCCCCTTAGCACAGAACTTAGTGCATAGCATTTCTCAACAAAAGCTTGGCAAATTGAACATAGCAAGATCATTGTCTACAAAATAAGAAATACACATTTGGATTATTTCATTCTATCGCATGTATTATTCTCAATTATTAAGCATTTCTAAAGCTCTAAGAAATTATAAAAAGGCTACAGAGATGTGAGTAATTTGATATAGCAGGAGTTGAAAGATATTAATCTTCTGGAATCTAGGTACTCATTCAGATGCTGATATGTATCTTTAATTTTGTTATCATGCCCAGAGTCCAGATGGATTTTTATTAGTTCATCAAACAATGCAGCAGACTTGACTTGTATTTAAATCCTTCTAATTAGTATAATCTTAAAATAAAACAAATCAAATTGCTGAATGGGCCTGAATATTTATTTATGACTTTTTTTAGTGCTTAATCAATTTAAATGAAATAAAAGAGCAATGTATTTTTCTATGATCTGATGCATAACTTCTTGATAACACCAGCTGATATTACAGACTTTGCCTAATCTTCTGAGTTCCATACAGCATCTTTACTTGACCCAAATAAAGATTCATTTATAGGAAATTTTCATGGATTTTACCCCAAAATCAAACACTTTTTTGTTTCTAGATCAGAACTTGGTTTGTGTGTAATATACGTGATTGTGTAATTGAATTTTAGTTAATCTGACACTTTCTGTTCTTTTGATTACAGGCTCTAGTCCAGAGGGTTTTCTGAAAAAACACTTTTCTACAAATTGGCAGTAAAGATGAATAGTGAGTATGTTTTAAGCATTTACACATGCAACATTGTTCTAGGCACTTTGCATTTAATTCTTACAACCTTCTTTGAGATAGGAGCTATCTTCACTTTACAGGTCTGGTAGCTCTAGGAGGAGTATACATCCAGATCTTATTCTCTTAAAAGAATAAGTTCTAGTCAGCTGTGGGATGGGCACGCATTATTGCCAAAAGTTGTGATTAATATTTACTAATTGAGTAAATTAAGTTTTACAGGCACCAAGTTTACGCAGAGGAACTCATGATCAATTTAGGTGAGGTACTGCCATTGAACTCGAAGCAAAGTCATGTCCAAGGCCACAGCTCATGTGTTTATTCACACTCTGGCCACAAGGGGGAGATTGTTAAAGGTAAAGGAACGTGCGCTTGCTCTTTTCCACTGTCAAGTGTCTTTTCCTTCGAAATGTGTGCCTTGATTTACAGTGATGCCTGGCCTGGGGTTTAACCTTGCTACAACTTTTCCAGCGTGTTACAAAGGTCTTCCTGTGGCTCTGTGCTCTTTATGCCTAATTACATCACTGGTTGGCACATTTCATGAAAATAAGATAGCTTTAGAGAGAACGTTTCCAGGGTGGATACTCAAAAACATCATAATCATCTAATACAACACAATTCAGCTACTCTTAAATGATATGCCTTCTTTTTCAGTGGCTCTTTCCTATAGTGTCCTGGCAAATTCTCTAAAGCTACAAAATGGATAGGTCAAGAACTTTAGCTCACAGCAAAGGGGAATTTGATCATCAACATAAAATTGGATAAAGGATGCAGTGTGGAACTAAGGGGCTGAAATTATAGTTTTCCCTACTTAAGATAATTATGCCACATGCGTTCATTTAATTTAATAACTATATTATACTGTGGATTAAAAGCATATGCCACAGTAAAAGTTTTGAAGAAAGCATTATAGAAAATAGAAAATTGACTCATTTAATAAACTTCTAATGAGCCTAAAAACTCATCTTAGGCAGCTGTAGAAACTTAAGGGTTTAATGTAATCTTTTTCTTGAGTTTCTTTTTTTTAATATTTGAAGTACTAATGTAGGTCATCCTATATGGGCCTATTGAGGTTTCATCTTTCCATGAACGGTTTTACGAACCAGATGGGAGAAGCAACTAAAAAATTATTATCATGAAAACTTAGATTTTTGTTTGTATGTTTGCATGTGTGTTCAACATTCTATTTTAAGATTTGTAACATAGTATGATCAGTATAGTATTATATAGTATAATACTATATTATAATATAGTATAATATACATTATATTATTATACCGTAATCCACAATATAATAATATAGTCATTAAACTAAATGAGTGCATTTGGCATAATTATCTTAAGTAGAGAAAACTATAATTTCAGCTACTTGGTTCCAGACTGCATTCTTTATTCAATTTTATGTTGAAGATCAAATTCCCAATAATGAATATTATCCTTGAATATTATCCTCTATACTGACATGAGAACAAAATGTATTTATTTTTCAAGTGACATTTATTAAAATCCTATGGACATTTATAAAATCATTGACATAGGCCAGTCATTGATCCAGGCACTTGGGCTACATCACTAAGCACAAGAGCCCCCAGTCACTAGCACTTGGAAACCAGCATTCTAGTGGAGAAATAGAAAAAAAATTACTAAGTAAATTTTATGGTATGTTAATATATATACATTACTAAAAAACAGATCAAAGAAGATTGAGAATGCCAGGAAGAATTGAAATTGCATCAGAGAAGACCTCCCTGAGAGGGTGAAATTTGAACAAAGACTTGTAGCAGCTGAGAGAGTGCACCTTGCAGATATCTGGAGCAGAGGGACAGGCACTCCATACAGAGGCAGCCACTCTGTTACCTTAGGAAAGTAGAAAGGCTACCTTAGGAAAAACAGATGTATGACTTAATCCGATTTCAGTTTTTGAAAGATGCATTTTGTTTTTGTTAATGTGTGTTTAAGTGTATGTTGGGATGACTAGAAAATCTAGGCTTTCTAAAACAGATGATAGTAACTACTACCATGATGATAACAGTGAACTTTGAATTTATTTTGAAAGTTAATCCAAATGAATATCCTGAGAGACTGGATGAAAGAAAGAGAGGAATCAGAAATGCCCCCAAGTTGCTTGCCCTGAGCAGCTGGAAGGATGAAGATGTCTTCAAATGGTATAAAGAAGACTGCAGGTGGAGTGAGAGCAAGTGAGTGGTGGGGAGAGGAAGAAGTTCACTTATCGACAGGACAAATTTGAGATATTCATTAGACATCTCAGTGGCAGTTGGTTATAACCCTCTTTTCCCATAAAGAATAACAGCCCCTGGCTCAAGGGCCACCCTCCCCCTCTCTCATCTATGGCAGCCATACCTAATCTAAAAGGCCTTTATTCCTGCTGACATGATGCAAGTCAGACCTTTTTTAACACACAGACTTAGATAGCCAATACTACCTGGCTGAAGTTTCAGAGTCACAGTAACACAATTGATTTCCTTGCTAGGCTACATGTAAAGGTGGCCAAATTCTTCCTAGTCATCTCATTGTAGTCAAATATTTCCTCAAATTAGATACTGTATCCATTCTTAGGTAGGGTAGTCATGCCACAAAAGCCAGGTCATTCCAACAGATAACATATTTTCCTGCAAAATAACTATGGTTTTCTGTATTTTTCTAAGATAGGAAGGAGCCATGTACTGTCTCAGAAACCGGTTTCAGGCTTACCTGACAGCAAACTTTTCCCAAATTGCTTTGTAGCTGTCAATCTACTCTCAATGGCAACTTAATTTTTTTTTAATTGGTAGGGTGCGAGAAAGTAGAACAGCAGGCATATCTGACGTGAGTGAAGACTACCCTTCTAATTGTCTAATGAGAAAACACTTCATTAGCATGAGGAGGACAGAGGTCTGAATCTTTTTTAACAATTAAATCTCTGCATCTTGCATGTTATTCCTCCAAGAGAATTAACATATTCTCTCTAGCATCTACTAGAATTTAACAAAGAGTCAGTGAGATTTCACAAGAAATTATTTCCTTGACACCTAGATGCCTGGGAGTACTTAATAAATAATTGAAATAACATTCAAAGAACGTATACTAAAAATACAACAGTTCTTCATTTCAAGAGATGTGTATTGAGTGTGTCCAGACTTTTGTTCTGTTAAAGAAAAATGTTTAACATTTTTTTTGAGAGTGGCAATAACCCATTTGGTAATAAGAGACAAGAAATGTGTGTGTAATTTATGCTGGTTAGTAGATTGCCTTTGTTTGTCTGGCTTGTGGCACATAAACAGATGTCAAGAGAGAGTCTCTGTGCATTAATCTGAGTATGGAAACTGCTGACATAGCAGCTAATATAGCTGTATTATCCATCTACATGCTTGTTCTTTCCTGGTTTATACAGTAGGGCTTTTTGTCTGAATATAAATCAATAGAAAGGGAACTTTAGAGCTATTTAAAATTCTAGCCACTTGCACTAAAACATGAACCCCTTTGGTTATGTAATACTTCCACACATTTACTCATTTAGCAAAACCACAACTGTCTTCCTTTCCATCATCCTGAATTTGTGGGTCCGAAAGAACGCACTTAAAAATACATTTCCAAAAAAGTCATACATTCTTTAAAAAAGGTAACTATTTTACAAACAGCAAATTATTAAGAAATTCTTTACTGGTAAAAAGATGATTTTAATAGAGTTTACCTATTAAAGCCTATAAGAAATAGCATGCTTCTTTTTCAAGCTACAGCCATGTCGAATTGTACAACTTTCCACTGAAGCTTACATGTGCTACAGAATGCAAAAATGCTACACTTTGTGAAGTACTTGAGGAATTTGTGCTTACTGGTTTCTCCAATTAGCAATTTTTTTTGGTGTACTCTTTTTTAAAAATTTTATTTTAAGTTCCGGGGTACATGTGCAGGTTTGTTACCTAGGTAAATGTGTGCCGTGGTGGTTTATAATAAAGTAATAGAAATGAAAATGTTTTGTTTTGTTTTGTTTTTATGAGACAGAGTCTTGCTCTGTCACCCAGGCTGGATTGCAGTCATGCAAACTCAGCTCACTGCAACTTCCACCTCCCGGGTTCAAGCGATTCTCTTGCCTCAGCCTCCCAAGTAGCTGGAATTACAGGCGCCCACTACCACACTCAGCTAATTTTTTGTATTTTTAGTAGAGACGGGGTTTCTCTATGTTGGCCAGGCTGGTCTCGAGCTCCTGACCTCAAGTGATCTCTCTGCTTCGGCTTCCCAAAGTGCTGGGATTACAGGCGTGAGCCACTGCACCTGGCCTGAAAACGTTCTTAAGATAAATGATGAAGTGTAAAATAAGATTCCTGTTGTTTAGGATTCTCCAGCTTGATAACTTTTTTTTGTACACACACCGTGGAAAAAAGTTGGCAGAAAATAAGTCAGGAAACAAAATATAAATTTACTTATACTAAGTTTGACCTATATGACCACAGCTTTTCCATTGCCATGTTGCAAGACTGATGAGTATATATTTATTCAAATAATCATTCTCTCTTTCCAAATAACCCCATTGTGCTGTTTCTGCTTTTTTGTTGTTGTTATTAGAATTACCTTGATATCATGCAGCGTGCTTTCTTAAATAACCTCACTGGTAAGAATGATTTATTTTCTGAGGGTGGCTTTGAGAAGCTGCTCAGTCACTTAAGGGTGGCTAGTGATAAGATGAAATGATCAATGTGATTAATATTAATTGGGACAAAATAATACAGTGATTCTTAAAGTGTGATTCCCCAGATTAACAGCCTCAGGATACCATGGGGCTCTCATTCAGACCCAGAGTGCTCTGTCTACCCTCAGAGTTTCTGATCATTTCGTTGAGGGTGGGACCTGAAAACGTACTTTTCTAAAAAGTTTCCAGGTGATACTGATGTGGTCTGGAGACCACATTTTGAGAACCACTGAAAGAATATGGGATCTTAAAATTATTATCCTGAATTCTTTTATTATTTTAAACTGCTTTTGAAGGCAATTTCAAAGAGTTCTTAAAAGTCAGTATTATTAGGAAAAGTTTAAAACCTCTTGAAGTTATTCTTTTTATAGGAAAATATTCTGTAAATTATTTTGCCTTGGTTTGTAAACAAAGCACCCCAGGGCTTTATCGCTAGCCCTGGAATGCCAGATTAACACAGCCTGGAAGGAACCAGGGTTATAGAATGGGAATACTTAGTGTCACGTCTGCCCAGCCACTTTTTCTCTGGTATCACAAGAATGGGGACAGATGATTTTGAGTTCAGCTTTCTAACCTCCAGAATGTTGCTAGAAGCTTAACGTGCATCTTTATTTTTCTATCCAAGAAAAAAAAATAAATCTGAATTAAATTTAAACATTCAACTAAGTTAAATTTGGGAGATCTGATTCTTAGGAATTGTTAAAAATCTGATCATGTGGCTTAACTATATGAAATTCTTCAAAGGACCTCCCCCTATTGGGGATTGTGTGTCTTCCCTGTGAGATACTGAGTTCCATGAGACCAGAAATCATTTCTGTCAGGAGAATTGTTGTGTATTTAGGGATTCAAATGGTACGTAGAACAGAATAGGCACCCTGTGAATTTATTTTGGATATTGGAGTCCAAGATCTTTGATACATAATGCTTTTCATGTTCTGTTCCTTTCTTAGTCTTCTCTCTATCTCTTATCACACTATACTTTGAATCATACAGAAATACTGATTTTGCTTGGCCTTTCTGAAAAGTGTCATGATCTTTGTCACCGACACAGAACCAAATGACACTATTTTTAATATTTGTTGACAAATGCTGTCATAGTCTTTGGAATACTAAGGTAGAATCAGGCCTGATTTAGTAATTTGCTACTGGGTCCTGAAGACAGGTTAGTATTTTGTCTGCATATTTAGTTTAAATGAATTATTAATTAGCAGAAATAATAACTGTTTTAGATGTAACAACAGATCATTTCATAAATCTCTCAGGTAGCCCTAATGGGAATAGTTAGTAATAGCCAGTTGTGTGGGTTTTAATCTAATCAAAATTGGATGTGTGGGGGACCGGGGCAAAAAGAATTTCTGTGACATTTTCATGGCCCTTGAGGAATTTCACATTCCATTTGAAAGTCAGTATTATCTTTAAACCTCTTAACTTGAATATGTTTTACTTGTTTTGGTTAGAAAGGGTAAAGTAGAGGTTTTTGATTTTGAAATTCTAAACTATCAGCAAGCAGTTTGAGTCCTTCAAACTGTAATTCATATCTTAAATCCCTAGTCTCCAGTACCTCAGAATATGGCTGTATTGGGAGATAAGTTTTTTTAAAGAGGTGATCAAGTTAAAATGAGGCCATTAGAGTGGGTCTAAAAATCTGAATGGTATCCTTGTAAGAAGAGATTTGGACATAGACATGTAGAGAGAGAAGACAATGAGAAGACAGGTAGAAGAGGAAAAAATGGTCATCTACAAGCCAAGGAGAAAGGTCATAGAAAAAAAAAATAACCCTGCTGATTCCTTGCTCTCAGACTTTTAGCTTCCACAATCATGAGAAAATAAATTTTTGTTGTTTAAGCCACCCAATCTGTGATACTTTGTTATGACAGCCCTAGCAAAATTAATACATAGACTATATCTCGGTTTAATTAAGTCAAAAAGTGTGAGATACAGTGTATTACAATAAGCAAAAGGGAGAAATAGAACATCATATTGAATAATATTCTAAGTTACAAGCATAGGTTAGGCCTGCTAAAGAGCAAAATATAGGGACCCATGGACATAGAGTCAAGAGGACTTAGAAGTCTGCTTTCGTAAACATTGACTAAATGACTGCAGTCAATTAACCTCATAGCCCACCTTCCAGTAATCACACGTGGATAACTGCAAGTGATGTGTAAAATAACAACACAACAACAGATCCCAAAGTGCAATAGTAATCCATTTATTATTATCCATCATCAAAAATCAGGATGTGTTTAGATATTTAACCCTGCATAGTGGTTAAGAGAGTAGGCCCAGAAATGAAACATACTTGAATTCAAATTTCAGCGTTATTGCTAAAAAACGATGTGATCTAAACATTAAATATAAGTTAACTTGCATGTAAAATGAGGCTACTAATATTGCTAACTTTACAGGGATGTCTTAAGGATAATCGGTGTAAACTTCTTTGCATAAAGCAATTACTTAGTACACCAACTACTATTATTAGCATAATATTTTTCTATTTGCTACGTGTCATAATGCAGAACTGAGGACACTGACTTTTCAGGGTGTCTCAACTTTTCTGACAGTAGCTGTTTTTATTCATAAGATCATCACTTGCTTCTCTTTACTGTCAAGCATATTGTAGAGGCATATTTAGCAGCAGTAGCTTATTTATTCACCAGAAGATCCACTGCAATCACAGGATATTTCTTAAGGACCTGGTTTTCTTGAGTCAACTTTCTAGAATGACAGCTTATACTTAGTTTACATTCCTGCAATTCAGCTCACTGATTTAAAATTGATTCCATCCACCCCTGTGCATTCATGGATGATGAGTCTGAATTTAGACCAAGTTCATGACAACAGTTTTTAACATAGGAATATGAAGTAGTCTCATCTTAGGTGCTAGACGCAATATTTCAAAAAAGCAAATGCACTCTGTGTAGCTCAAAGTCATAAACAAGTACTATACTTACCAAAATTTACTGTCACTTAAAATGCACTATTAAATGTTATCATAAGTTTTACAAAAACATCAATGAGTTTAAAGTGTTTGATGAATTCAAAGAAACAACAGGTGCTCACTTTATGGGCAGAAAGAAGAGGCCTGAAATAGTTGAGTTTTTCTTTCTTTCTTTTTTTAATCACTTCCTGCATGACTACCTAAAGGTGGTTCCTGTGGTTTTTAAAAAACATAGAATTCATTTATTCTCGCTCACCATTAAATATATTATCAGAAGCAAGAAAAGCCACACTTATCCCTATAACCCTAATCATCACATCCATATATACATCCAATACCTGGCCTCTGGTGGGTGGGATTGCATCAGCTCCACCATTTGCAACCCATAAGGGCAGCAACAGTTACCTCTGTCCCTCAGAACTGTGCATCTTAAGGTAGTTGGGAGAGCTCCAGGCTTCTGAATCCTATCTCTCCCCATCTCCAACACCACCGATGGTATATACAGTGTGCCCAAGTCTTCAAAAACGAGTCATTCTGGGTTAAAAATTTAAATCTCTGCATAGTACTAGGAAAAAAGTAATGTTTCTTGGTTTCTGGGGACCGTGATTTACTTTCTGCTTTGTTTTACAAAAACATCTGTTTTGTTATCCATGATTTGGTTGCTCTCATTTCTCCCAGCCAAACAAAACATTGTACTCCAGAGATCAGGGTCCTGATCAAATAAGATATTGGGTACACTTGATGAAGAGGAGAGGCCAACACAACAGCATTGAGTTTCTGATGGCAAACATTGTGTGAATAGAATAAATACTTCAAAAGAGAAGGGCAAGAAACAAAACTACTCCAATTTGCCCCAAATGCTGGAGCTGAACTCTCTCTAAGACACTTGAGTCTCCCAGCCCTCCTCACACTGGAAATACCAAAGATTATCAGCACCACCCCTTTCCTTAGCCTTATGGGACAATTCAGACACAAACAGTGGGCCATCAATTTAGGTGCTGACTATATGGAAACTATTGAGAAAATATAAAATATAAAAGTTAGAAGTAACTAGAGTTTTCCTCTAGCCAATGGTGGGTGGCTGAATTCACTCAGTTTCTGCAAATTCCTAGACTTTTTATCTTCTTCTGTGTCTAGTTTCTTAAACCTGTCTTTCTAACTACTTTTAGTTCACTCTTCTCTGTAGAAAGATGGAGATTTCCCATTTCTAGTTTTTTCCTTCTCTCCATTAAACCTACATGTTGCCTGCAAATTTCTCCCTTCCATGTCTCCTACCTGACTCCATAGATCTTGTCCTTTCTGTACCACATATTGTCCTGCGATAAAACAACCTCATAATAGAGCATCAGAGGAATAACATTTCTTGTTTCACCAATATACCTTCTAAACATTTAATGCTGTGAATAGATGACTTGCTGTTAAGGTAGCATCCCACGAAGATAAAACATAGAGGTATGGGATTTTCTATTATCATACTATGCAACTTGCAACAACAAAAAAAGATAAACTCATACTTTGTGATGTGCACAATCAAATATGGTACTGAGTGGAAATTTGTTATAAGTGAAAGGAGCTTGCATACCTAATTATGATGTTTTGCACAACGAATGAAAATGTTCCTTCTTCATGTCTCGTTTTGTTAATTTTTAGTTTGTGCCAACTGACAATCCTTCTGACATTATGGAGCATGTAATCATCACTCTTCCTAGCAAAGATCTGACTCTGAGTCTACAGCTGCCATGCACTCTTGTTCATGAGTTTATCACATGTCTCAGCACAAGGTTTTCCTGCTTCACCCATGTGTTTCATCTTTTAGGCCACTTCTATGTAATATCATGTACCTGAAGGCTCTATGAGAAGTAGTAGCTGATTATGTCGTGGGATCCTAGATCAAGAGGCAAAAGCTTTGAATCTTTCTCAGAGGAGACAGCACCCTCAGCTTGTGGGGAGCAGGTATGTAATACACCGAGAATGAGCTCTCCTTTGGAATCTCAGAATAGATGAATATAAGAAAATTTTATAGATAAAGAAGGAGGAATAGAAAGTGTGGCTGTTAGTGGCCCCCCTAAAAGTCATTTTTCTTTTTGTCTTTATATAGATGAACTGTCCTTTTTTAAAAAAATTTCCAAACACCAGATATCCCACCAAGGGGATGAAACATGTTCTATGTAAGTCATTCATGGCACTCTGATTCGCCTGAACAAATGATTAGAAATGTACATGCAATCCCTTTTGTCCAGTGACATGTGAGAAGACTTCTGTTAAGGTGCTTACAGAAACTATTTTTCTCTGTAATATATGTGTGTGTGTGTGTGTGTGTGTGTGTGTGTGTGTGTGTGTATAAAGCTGGTAGGGCAAAACTATTATTTCCCTGGTATTTACTGTAATTGTACTTCAATATGCTTGAAGCTGCTGTTGCTTTCTTGTTTGAGAAATACCCTTAACATTCAGAGAATGATGGAGAATACAATGGAAAAAAGATTAGTTTTTTATGACATCACTAAATTGCTGCCGTAACCTTGAATCACCTACCAGGTGAGCAATTACAATTTACCTTACCTATATAGGAAGTAAAGATGGAAGGCACACATTAGTATTAGACCTTCCCTTTGGTCTTTAACTATAAAAAAAATCAACTCTCTCTTCAGGGCCTAGATTAAATTTCATCTCTTCTGGGACCATTTTTTGACTACTCCAGACTAAACTGATACTTTAAAATATGAAATTCCTAGAGGTTTATTGCTTGGGCATTTAATCTCATATTTGTATGACCTATTGTCTCTTCAGTGGAACTGTATAATCCTCAGGGGACACAGCCTGCAACCTAATTCATCTTTCTTTTATACTTATTATCCTTGTACAAACTATCCATTGGGACTTCAATAAACATAGTTTTAACAGTTAACAATTTTCTGAGCCCTCACTCTGTGCCAGATCATTTGCTAAGTACTTTGTGGCAGTTAATCCTCATGACATTATTGCAAGAAGTATTGTTATATTCCACAGCGCTCTCCTGAATGAGGTTGGGTGCCCGCTAAATTCTGTCCTGATATTCTACACTTTTCCTTGATACTACTCATCATAGTTTTAATTATCAAACGAGTTAAGCATGCATTTGGCTGTTTGTTGTCTACTTCTCCCCAGGTAAAGTCCGTGAGGGCAATGATGTTTTCTGCCATATGTCCCCAGGCTATGGAACAATACCACGTATGTAGTAGTGCCTCAAATATTTGGTGAAAAAATAAAGATATATTAACATTTTTAGAATGTGAGATAGAAGCTGAGAGTAGGACATATCTGGCTCAATTTCACACCACTGGGGCTAGGGTGCATACTCACAGCCATGTTGCCTCTATCCAGAGGCCCTGCTATCTATCATCTACTATCATCACCCTCTCAAAGGGAGAGTGTGTCAGCAGGCCTTCAAGTTTGCTTCCCAGAATCAGTAAAATTATTAGTTGTTTCATCATTTCTTTTTATTTTGTATAATTGCATCCCAAGTTAAAGAGATCATTGACTAACTAATAGTTACCATACTAAATTGAAGAATTCTGATAGAGAGTTCAAACTGTAAGGTAGTTCTCAATCATACAAAGGTAAATAGAACAGTAAAGATCGAGGAAAATCCCAGGAGGAAAGATAAAAACACCTGTACCACGTTGTTTTCCACAGATTTGAGTTGTTTCAAACTCCAACTGAGGCTGAGTTTACCATGCCCTTTGTTGTGTGGAAAAGTAAAATCACATGTTTAACAGCCAACACAAAGATTTCAAGCTCCTGAAGTGAGCAGCTAAGAATGATGATAGTGATTGTATCATTTATAGAGCACTCCATTTTTGCTAGAAATATTGTCCCCAATTCTTACATCATCATTACAAGTTAGGGTTTATTCCCTGCATTTAAAGGAAATTCATGCTCATAAAGGCTAAGCAACACAGCCAAGGTCACATAGCTAGCAAGCCATAGATATATACTATGAACTCTGATCTACCTGCAAGTAAAATTCAGGGTCTTTCCACCCTGCCATAGTACAGCTATTATTCATCAAGAACCTACCACATTTCAGGAACTCTTTTAGATACTTCTTCAATCATCACAAAACAAATCCTATAAGGTAATTATTATCAGAGTAAGAAAGATTAGCCACAGTTACATGTGAATGAATTTGAAAGCAAAATAAATTAAGAAGTAGGTTTAAAGAGTGGCAGAGTTTTCTACAAACATGTCAAATTTTTACAAGAGTTTTTTAACTTATCTATGATAGACAAATGTTTATATTTAGTATATC
This sequence comes from Homo sapiens, assembly GCF_000001405.40. NCBI lineage: Eukaryota > Metazoa > Chordata > Mammalia > Primates > Hominidae > Homo > Homo sapiens. The sequence continues at coordinate 110,303,139 of NC_000003.12, read as the reverse complement.
TATACCATAGAGAACAGCAAGAAGACAATGGACTTGAATAAGAAGCAAAGTGAGGAAAATACATGGTGAATCATATTTTGCAGGCATGGGTAAAGTAGTTATAGGCATCCTAAAGGGTCAGACAATGATGGGATGCATTGAAACCCCAAGTTTAGGCTTGGCACAGTGGCTCATGCCTATAATCTCAGCACTGTGGGAGGCTGAGATGGGCAGATTGTTTGAGCCCAGGGGTTCAAGACCAGCCTCAGCAACATGGTGAAACCGCATCTCCACAAAAAATACAAAAATTAGTTGTGTGTGGTGGCACGTGCCTGTAGTCCGGCTACTTGGGAGGCTGAGGCAGGAGGATTGCTTGATCCTGGGAGGTGCAGGTTGCAGCAAGCCCAGATTACACCATTGCACTCCAGGTGACAGAGCAAGAACCTGTCTCAAAGAAGAAAATGAGAAAGAAGCCCCAAGTTTAAAATACAGGCATCTGTCTGGATTTTGGTCATTTCTAAGGATATCAACCCTTTTAAAGAAAAAAATTCTCTAAGAGCTGATGTGGTAGAATCTGAATTTTTATCTCTGATGCCATATGAACAAAAGAGTTAAACTAGGAAATCAGATAAAGAATAGCTGTTTTGTTTGCTTGTTTGTTTGTTTTGAGACAGAGTCTCGCTCTTTCACCCCGGCTGGAGTGCAGTGGCATGATCTCGGCGCACTGCTGCCTCAGCCTCTCAGATTCAAGGGATTTGCCTGCCTCGGCCTCCTGAGTAGCTGGAACCACAGGCACGTGCCACCAGCTCAGCTAATTTTTGTATTTTTAGTAGAGACAGGGTTTCACCATGTTGGCCAGGCTGGTGTCGATCTCCTGACCTCGTGATCCGCCCTCCTAAGCCTCTCAAAGTGCTGGGATTACAGGTGTGAGCCACCGCGCATGGCCAAGAATAGCTGTTTTTAAAGATACAATGCCCAATCCAGCATCTTTGGCTACAACTATGTTCTCACTTTCCAGCTCCTTCCCACCAGACATCTGCTGGTGAAGATTTAATTGTATCTGTAACTTCAGTAATCATGTACATGTGTATTTTGAAGGATGAATTGTAGATGTCCAGTTTAGGGCTAGATGGCATAATGTGCAGCTGCTAGACATTTCATCTATCATCTACTAGTGTTAGCCTAATGGCCACTGCGAGATATGCTTCTCTCTATAAATGCTCCGTAATAAAATCAAGACAGGCAACATTCAGAGAATTAACAGATGCTGAAAGCTGAAGAATTCACTCCTCCAGGAGGAAATCTTGATCACTGCAGCCCCATGGAGTAGGGAGAAGAAAGAAACAGCAAGCCAAATCACGTATTTCTAACAGAATGTTTGCTTTTCTTTACCTATTTTTGTTTTGTATTTGAGCATTTTATTCTTGTTAAAGAATGTTTTTGAAATAGTTTAGAGTACTGAAAAATTCAATGAGAAAAATGTTGAAAAGGACTGAGTTTATTTACCTTGAATAAAACCCCAACATCACCTTTTCCATAAATCACACAATTTTCATGTCATGCAATCATTTCATCTGCCTAATTTTTAAAAATATTTTCTGGAAAAAAAAGAGCATATAATTAGATAACCTCTCAGATCCCTCCTGATAACTATCTCTACACCAACTTACTTCAGCATTTTTAAGAAACCTACGTTGACATATCCATATTAAAAATGCTACCCCCAGGTTACATTTAATGTACAAAATTATTTCACTCATTGTTCTAAATGCCATGGCGCCATGGTGCTGGAAAGAGTTAAGAAAACAGCCTGTGAGATGATGGACCACAGAGGCCACTCTACTTTCATTCTCTCAAAGGGAGAGTAGAGTGTGTCAGCAGGCCTTCAAGGTTGCTTCCCAGAATCAGGAAAATTATTAGTTGTTTCATCATTTCTCTTTATTTTTTATAATTGCATCCCAAGTTAAAGAGATCATTGACTAACAGTTTCCATACTAAATTGAAGAATTCTGATAGAGTTCAAACTATAAGGTAGTTCTTCATCATGCAAAGGTAAATAGAACAGTAAATATCAAGGAAAATCCCAGGAGTAAAGACAAAAAGGCTGATTTTTAAAATTTCTTCTTCCTCCAATATTCTATATGCCACACCCTTGCATGATAAAAGATTCTTGTGATTGATTTGAGCCCAGGAGTACACACACACACACACACACACACACACACTCACTAGAGTGATTAAGCAGGAATAAAAGAAGCCTTCCATAACAGATCCTCTTGTTACAAGAACTTATAGCATCCTGTTTTTCTCCTTCACAGCACGCTTAACAAAATTGCAAATGCATAATTCATTTTGAAATTGTTTGTTTAGTATGTGATTTTCTGTCATGTTCTCACCTTATGTGCAACATTTAACATCATGATCTGTATTTTATAGATGTTCAGAATAGTGGTTGAATAAATAATTAAAGGAGTGAATGAATAAATACTTTTTCTTTATTAATGGTCCTAATTGGTAATATGCAGTGTTTTTCTGTCAACTATTCTTGAAGCATGATTAAACACACTCAAGATAGTTATAATATATGTGGTATATTGTATATTATATATCATGTTATTATATTATATGTACAATATATAATATGCATTATTGTATATTAGATAGCCAAATCTGTGTGTGTATGTATGTATGTATGTGTATATATATATATATATATATATATATATATATATAGCTTAATGAAACAGTCTTGCTCCAAAAAAGCAAAAACTGACTTGATTGTCCAAAGATTGTAATTCATCATTGAGCCCAATGACTATGTCATTCTTACACACACACACAAACACACACAACATACATTTACCATACATCTACACAATTAGGTATTTGTAGTAAGACCATGGTAATCATCTTTAGTGATCCCTGCTCTGTCCCTAAAGCCCACCATTTGGGAGAAACAAGAAACTCATTATGAATGAGCAGTTGGCAGCCTCATGGGAGTGGTTTAAAGATGATGATTTTCAAAATCTGGCTAGAGCTGTTTTAAATACCACAATGAAGCAAGACACATCTTGTTTCAACAAACCTGTATTTTGGATCTGAGTGGCTAGATAGTTTTACATGAGCTTATTTGGGGGTAAAGACCAATGTCTCTAATAATGACAAAATATTAAAATTTTAAGAATGCCTTTGGCAGGAATAGGGAATCCTAAATTATGCTTCTTTCTTAGGTCTCAACTTATGATGTCCCTGGGTACTTTATCTCCTTTGTTTTTTAGATGGAAGCTTACAGTATATTTAAGATCTTGCTCTATCACCCAACTGGAAAGCAGTGACATGAACCTAACTCACTGCAGCTTCTGACGCCTTGGCTCAAGGAATCCTCCCACCTCAGCTTCCTAGGTAGCTGGGACTACAGTTGTACACCACCACACCTAGCTAATGAAAAACAATTATTTGTAGAATTTTTTGTAGAGATGAGGTCTTGCTATGTTGTCTAGGCTAGTTTTGAACTCCTGGCTTCAAGCAATCCTTCTACCTTGGCCTCCCAAAGTGCTGGGATGACAGGCATGAGCCACTGCACCTGGCTCTCCATGGTGGTTTTGATTTGCATTTCCTTAATGATTACCGGGATTGAATACCTTTTCATGTACCTGTTGGCTATTTGTACATCTTCTTAGAAAAAATGTCTGTTCAGGTTTTCCGCCCATTTTTGAATTGGGTTATTTGTTGTATGTCATCGAGTTGTGTAATTTCTGCATATATTTTGAATATTAACACTTATCATGTCCAGCAAACTTACTCTATGTATTCATCCAAAGTAGTTTAAATAGGATCTTGAAGAGATACCTACACACCCTTATTCATTGAAGCATTATTTATAATGGAAACAAGCTAAAAGTCCATTGATAGATAAGTGGATAAAGAAAATGTGGTGTGTGTATATATATGTGTGTGTGTGTGTGTGTGTGTGTGTGTGTATACATATATGTACACAATGGAATATTATTCAGCCTTGAAAAACAGAAATCCTGCCATTCACAACAATATAGATGGGCCTGGAAGACATTATGCTAAGTGAATTAAGCCAGATACAAAAAGACAAATACTGCATAATTTCACTTATATGTAAAATCCAAAAAAGTCAAATTCATAGAGACAAAGAGTAGAAACGTAGTTGCCAGGTGATGGGGGGACGGGACATTGGGAAATGTTGGCCAAACAGTAGGAAGTTTCAGTTATAAAAGAAAAATATGTTCTGGAGATATACTGTCCAGCATAGTGCCTGCAGTTAACAATACTGTATTGTATACTTAAAACTTGCTAAGAAGGTAGGTCTTATGTTAAATGTTCTTACCACTCACACAGAAATAATGATAATAATAATAAAACAGCAAGAGGAAAGTTTGGGAGGTGGTAGAGATGTTTATGGCCTTGAAGGTAGTGATAGTTTCACAGGTGTATAATTATCCCCAAACTCATTGAGTTGCATAGGTATAACGTTTTTCATGTCAAACATAACTCAATAAAGTGGTTTTTAAAAACCCAGTATTATTTCTAGAAGCACCAAAATATGAAATATGTAGGTGAAAATATAACAAAATACTTTAAGCATCAATATGCTGGCAATTATAAAACACTAACAATGAAAGATATAAAAGAATAGTTAGATATATGTATGTACATTTTCGTGTATTTTAAGAATAATATTATTTACATATCAATTTCGAACTGACGTACAATTCAGCAGAATTCCAGTTAAAATGCTGGCAGGATTTTGAATAGATGCTGATAAAACAATTATGAAATTTATATAGAAAGATAAAGAAACCAGAATACCCCAAAACAACTTTAGAAGATGGCTAAAAATGGAGCATTAGATATACTTGATATCAGAGTTTACTGTAAAGCAACAGTACTTGAAGACAGTATACTCTTGGCAAAATATTAGATACATAGGTTGGAATGGAATAGAGAGTCCAGAAATAGACTCACACTGATAGAATTATTTAATTTTGAAAAAAGGCATCAAAATAAATTCAATGAAGAAAAATAGACTTTCAAAAAATGGTATTGAAAAAAGTGGACATTCAAATGTAAATATTTAGAAATGGCATTCTTTCTTAAATGTTTTATTTAATTACCTGTAATTTTGTTGTTGTTGTTGCTGAAATATTTTTAAACATAAACCCAATTTCTTTAATAGATCTTTTTAGGATATATATTTCTTCTCAAGTGAGCTTTGATAGTTTTTATCTTTCAAAGAATTTCTAACTGGACAAAATAATGTGCATAAAGTTGATCATAATATTCTCTTATTATCTTTAATGCTTGTATGATGTTATGATTTTTTCTTCATTCCAAATATTTTTGTGTATTTGTTTCTTTGCTTTTCTCTTTTTTCTTCTTGGCAAAGATTTATCAGTTTACTGATTATTTCAAAGAACAAACTTCTGGTTTCATTGATCTCCCAATTGTTTTTCTGTTTACAACTTTGCTGATTTATGCTTTCACCATTTATTTTATTCTGGCTGCTTGGTGTGAAATTAATTTGTTCTTTCTTATTAGATTCTTGAATTGGAATTTTAAATAATGTATTTGAGATTTTTCCTTTTTTAATACAGCATTTCATACTATAAATATCCTTTTTGTTATCTTTTAGCTGCATCTGACATATTGTTTCTTCATTTTCTGCTAAAATTTCACATCTCTTCATTCTTTCTAACTTTCTTACTAGTCTTTAATGTATTAATCATAGCTGCTCTAAATTCTTTGTCTTGGAGTACCTATATCCACATTGCCTATTAGTGTGATTACATTGATATTTTTTCTTTTCAGATTTTTTTTATTGGTTTTGTGTATCTCATAAATTTTTATTTAAGATATACCTCTTATGTAGGCCAATTGAGACTGAGGTAATTAGTATTTTCACCTGAAAATGGGCACATACTCTTTTGCATGCTAGGCTTTTAGCATTTGCTTAGGTAATGGAGGGGTGGTGATTTAATCTAGAAAGGAATTTAGTTAGGCTTGTGTTTTGTTTTTCCTGTGGTTACCACCAGTTTCCAATTCCTCCAGTGTTAATTTGTGTGGTGGCCAGTGCTGAGGGGTGGAGGGGGCAGCTGATATGAAGAGTTTCACTCAGTATTTGCTTTCTCCTCAAGTTTAGGCCTTCTCTGTGTGTTTATGCTTCATAAAAGCTCTTTCGCCATAGTCTTGCCTAACTAATTCACCCATATTACTTGAGACTGGCCCCACTGATGGTAGTAGGCAGGAAGACTTGGTTGTTCTGTTCCTGCTTCATTTTGTGTCTCTGAATTCTAGGGATAAATCTTGCTTGCTGATTATTTACTCTGTCCTAGGAGAATGTTGAGGCTAATAATTTGGGGCTAGAATTGATTTCTGCCCCTGCCCTAGGCACAGAGTGGTTTTCCATTTTCCTTTCCCCAGCCACAGTGTTTTAGAGGTGGCAAGACTCACTGTTTTTTAGGGAAAACAAAGCCAGACAGTGCTTTGTGTCTTTACTGCAGCAGCAACCACTCCCCTTCACCACGCCTGCACCAGTAAAAGAAGCTTTCTCCAGTCTTTTGCTATAACCCCAATTTTTCCTGTGAGAACTTAGTACAGTTCTATGCAGTAGAACCCGTAAATGAATGCAAACTCTCGTTTTTCAGCAGCATTTTGGAGTTTCAAACTTTCCTGGTAACCCATACTCAGTCTTTAAATAGCTAAAAATTGTAGCTGAATTCTTCTTGTTCACTTTTGTGGTAATTTTCTCTTCCTCCCACACTTTGCCTAGTTGAGCCAGTGCTTATGTTCTGTCTCTCCTTGAAGGCACTTGTCTTTACATAAATTTCAGGGGCTTTTGTTACCTTGTGACATCAACTCTCAAGGAAATGTGTGGTTTTGTAGATTATACACATTATTCATGCTGTTACATGGAAAGAATATTATTTTCCGATTTCTACATCTTAAGTAGAAGGTAGATGCCACCGGTGATATTGTTTCTTATTTAGGCTAGCATCCCTTTTAATTACATCGTGTTCTTTCATTTTGTCTTTAAGCTTAGGCTTTTCTCTCCATGTGGACTGATTGATTCCTGAATTTATTTTTAGAGGACCTATGATATGGTTAGGCTTGATGTCCCCACTCAAATCTCATCTTAAATTGTAATCCTCAGGTGTTGGGGGAGGAACCTGGTGGGAGGTGACTACATCATGGGGGTGGTTTTTCCCATTCTGTTCTCATCATAGTGAGTGAGTTCTCATGAGGTCTGATGGTTTTTTAAGTGTTTGGCATCTTACTTCTTCACTCACACGCTCTCTCTATCTTGCCTGGTAAGATGTGCCTGCTTCCCTTTCCACCATGATTATAAGTTTCCTGAAACCTCCCCAGCCATGTGGAACTGTGAGCCAATTAAACCTCTTTCCTTTATAAAGTACCCAGTCCTAGGCAGATCTTTATAGAAGTGTGAAAACGACTAATACAATACAATAATTTAGTACTGAGGTAGTAGGGCACTGCTATAAAGATACCCAAAAATGTGGAAACAACTTTGGAACTAGGTAACAGGACAGTTTGGAGGGCTCAGCACACAGGAAGATGTGGGAAAGTTTGGAGCATCCTAGAGACTTGTTTAATGGCTTTGATCAAAATGCTAACAGTGATGTGAACAATAAAGTCCAGGCTGAGGTGGTCTCAGATGGAATGAGGAACTTATTGGGAACTGGAGTAAAAGTCACTTTTGCTGTGCTTTAGCAAAGAGACTAGCTCCTGCCCTAGAGATCTATGGAATTTTGAATGTGAGAGACATGATCTGAAATTGGAACTTATGTTGATAAGCGAAGTAGAATATGAAAGTTTGAAAAATTTGCAGCCTGATGATGCAATAGAAAAGAAAAACCCATTTTCTAGGAAGAAATTCAAGCCAGCTGGAGAAATTTGCATAAGTAACAAGAACCCAAATGTTAATCAACAAGACAATGGGGAAAATGTCTTCAGGGCATGTCGAAGGTCTTCATGGCAGCCCCTCCCATCACAGGCCTCAAGGCCTAGGAGGAAAAAACAGTTTCCTGGGCCAGGCCAAGGGCCTGGCTGCTTCATGCAGTCTTGGGACTTGGAGGTCTGTGCCTCAGCCATGCCTAAAAGGTACAAATATACAGCTTAGTCCATTGCTTTAGAAGGTGCAAGTCCCAAGCCTTGGTGGCTTCCATGTGGTGTTGGACCTGCAGGTGCACAGAAGTCAAGCATTGAGGTTTGGAAACCTCCACCTAGATTTAAGAGGATGAATGAAAATGGCTGGATGTCCAGGCATAAATTTGGTCCAGGGACGGAGCCCTCATGAAGAACCTCTGCTCGGGCAGTATGGAAGGAAAATGTGAGGTTGGATCCCCCACACAGAGTCCCCACTGGAGCACTGCCTAGTGGAGTTGTGAGAAGAGGGCCACCATCCTCCAGACCCCAGAATGGTAGATCCACTGACATCTTACACCATGCTCCTGGAAAAGCCACAGACACTCAACATCAGCCAGTGAAAGCAGCCATGGGCAGGCTGTACCCTAAAATGCCACAGAGTTGAAGCTTCCCAAGACTGAAGGAGCCTACCCCATGCATCAGCATGACCTGGATGTCAGACGTGGAGTCAAAGGATATTATTTGGAAGCTTTAAGATTTAATGACTGCCCCACTTGATTTTGGACTTGCATGGGCCTGTAGCCTCTTTGTTTTGGCCAATTTCTCCCACTTGGAATAGGATTCATTGCCTGTATCCTCCTTGTATCTTGGAAGTAACTAACTTATTTTTGATTTTACAAGCTCCTAGGTGGAAGGGACTTGCCTTGTCTCAGATGAGACTTTGGACTTGAACTTTTGGATGAATGCTGGAATGAATTAAGACTGTTGGGAAGGCATTATTGGTTTTGAAATATGAAAGGGACATGAGATTTGGCAGGGGCCAGGGGTGCAATAATATGGTTAGGCTTTGTGTCCCCACCCAAATCCCATCTTTAACTGTAATCCCCAGGTGTTGAAGAAGAAACCTGGTGGGAGATGACTGGATCATGGGGGCAGTTTCCCCCATGAGGTTCTTGTGATAGTGAGTGAGTTCTCATGAAATATGATGGTTTTATGTGTTTGGCAAGTTCCTTCTTCACTCATACACTCTCTCTATCTTGCCTGCTGCCATGTAAGACATGCCTGCATCCCCTTCTGCCATGATTATAAGTTTCCTGAAACCTCCTCAGCCATGCAGAACTGTGAGTCAATTCAACCTCTTTCCTTTATAAATTACTCAGTCTTAGGCAGCTCTTTAAAGCAGTGTGAAAATGACTAATACACCCTATATCACTAAATGGAGTTGACTTACTCATATAATATTTTAAACTCTGCTATTCCTGACAGCATGCTCTTTATTCAGTTGTTCTGGATGCTCTTATCTTTCCTTTGTTCTCTTCAGTTTTTGAGTGGCCCTTTCCTGGCCTTAGGTAAAGTGAGATTTTATCATCCCAGCGTTTACACCTTATGGGATGTATGTAGGTTGATGTTACACCAGATTTCTGTTCATTTATGTGCTGACCAAATCTCTTCATAAAATCGTCAGTGGGAGTATGGGTTATGCAAAGCTGTCCATTCAATTCCAAGTATTTGGTTATTCCAAATCATCCCTCAAGGCCCAAATCAAAGGGTACCACATCTGTGATGCATTTTCAGCTCTTGCTAGTTAGACTGGCCTTTTTTCCTTCTGTTGTCTTACAGTATTATATGACTGCTTTGACTTGGTAGTGGATTCCATTCAATCTTGTACTGTATTTAGTTGTTTAATGTTAATTTCTGGAGAATTGAGTCCCAACTGTTAATTTCAGTATGCCCACAGCATCTGGCAGAATATGTACTCTATATTGTTGGCTAAATATTGGATCCATGTGGCATAAGTAAAAGGAGAAGAGAGACTTCCCTTAAATTTTCCAACAGCTCGGAATATATTTCAAAATAAGTTTTTCTAACTAGAGGGAGAAGACAGTAGCTACTTGTCAATGATCTCCTATCATGTATTTCATAAGACATTTGTATTAGTTAAACAAGTTACCTTCAGTACTTAAAACCACTAGGAGGTAATGACTATAAGTTACTACATGAGATCAAGACTGATAGATTCCCTCATGACAAACTGCTTATAGACTACTTTTCCTATTTAAAAAATAGGCCATTATTGGGAGACTGAAAGCATAGATATCAACCCAATGGCATATTTGGCAACATTTGAGATACTATTAAAATTTTCTACTAGTCTCCCCATACATAAGAACTTACAAATCAAGGATTTGGAGTGACAACTTTTGAAAACACATTTGGATAGCTAACATTCTTTTTATAATTAAAAAAAAAAAACAGTTGCAAAGGAAACTTCTAAAAATGGTTTTAGGTAAAGAACCCACAATTTGAAATATACTGGAAGAATTATGCTTTACATCGTGAGAATTAATATAGACCCAAATCAAAAATGCTTTTTCTACTTTAAAATTAATGAAAAATGAAGAATAACTACTTTTGGCTAAATATGATAGCAGTGAGAAACTGTTCTTTTCTCTTATTTGCAGTAGTTTCAGATGCAAATAATTATGAGACATATTTCCTCTTCCACTGTCTCTATTCATAATACTTTTAACTAATATGAAAATTACTTACAATGTATTAGCCTCTTGTCTAAGTATTTTACATAAAATAATTTAATATTATTTTTATTATAATTTAATATTTAATTATTAAATAAATAAATTAAATAATAATCAAATAAATTATTATTTAATTAATAATAATTAAATTAAATAATTATTATTTAATTTATTATTAAATTATTAATAAATAATTTAATATTGTGTTATAATATTATAATTATTTTACATAAAATAATTATAAAATAATTTAATCTACAAATCTTTAAAGCAAGGGTCAGCAAATGTTTTATATAAAGAATCAGCTAATAAATACTTCAGGTTTTTCAGGCCATATGGTCTCTGTCTCAACTATTCAACTCTGCGTTATAGCTCAATGGCAACCATAGATAATACATAAATGAATAATCAAGGCTGAATTCCAACAAAACTTAATTTACAAAAGCATCTGGTGGAATAAGCTTGGCCAACAAGCTATAGTTTGACAAACACACATAATGTAAAAACCATTTTAAATTCTTATATCACAAGTTGAGAAAATTGATATAAGCTACAAACAAACAGCTAAGGAAATTGAGTTTTAAGTAAAATATTATTAGCCCATGTAGTCTTGCCCTGGGACTGCACTATTAAATATGGCATGCACTAGTTATATGTAACTATTGAGCACTTGGTATGTGGCTAGTCTAAATTAAAATGTAAGTGCAAAATATGTACCAGCTTTCAAAGATTTCGTATTAAAAAAGGAATCTAAAATATCTCAAATATTTTCATATTGGTTGCATATTGCACTAACATTAATTTGGGTATATTGGGTTAAATGTATGACTAAAATTAAGTTAACCTGTTTTGTTGTTGTTGCTGTTTGGCAGGGTCTGGCTCTGTTGCCCAGGGTGGAGTGCAACAGTGCAGTCTTGGCTCACTGCAACCTCTACCTTCCAGGATCAAGGGATCCTCCCACCTCAGCCTCCTGAGTAGCTGGAACTACAGGTATGTGCCACCATGCCAGGCTAATTTTCGTATTTTTGGTAAAGGTGGGGTTTTGCCACATTGCCCAGTCTGGTCTTAAACTCCTGGCCTCAAATGATTCTCCAACTTCAGCCTCCCAAAGTGCTAGGATTATAGGCGTGAGCCACTGTGCCCAGCCAAGTTCACCTGTTTCTCTTTGAGTATTTTAATATGACAACTAAATATTTATCTTAGAAAATATGGCTTGCATTTTTTGCTTACATATTTATATTGGGTACTACTCTAGTCTATTCCTAACAGTTGCTTTTATACGTGCACACTGAGGCAGTTATATTAAAATATTCCTCTTTAGGTGAAGAATGTAGAGTGAGGATCTTCATAAATATATCTGCCCCCCCCAAAAAAAACTAGCAGAAACATGTCAAAATCAACTTTTTCAGAGTTCTGAAAATTAAGAAAATACTTCCACACTCTGAGGAACATTTATTTAAGAAAAAATAATCAATCTCAGCAAGAATAGCAAGATTTTTTGTTTATTTGTTTTAATTTAGCCAGTATCTAATCCCCATGCCCAGCTCCACAGTAGCCTTGAAAAGAGCAGTCTTACAACAATGGTGGCTGTAAAAATGAGATTTTCAGCCTACAGAGGGCAGAGCATATTTGAAGCTTCCCAAAAAGTCCCACCTCCAGAACACTTTCACTATTTTACCTCTTTTTCAGCTTCCTGGAAAAACCCCCTTTACAGAGTGCTGTCATTATTTAATCTGACTCAGAACTTGTTCTATGAGAAAAGTTCTAGCCTCAAAAAATTTCCTAAAAACCATTAGGAATAGTTAATAAACATTGCTGTTCCCTGAGGCTGTGATACAAGTTAGGACAAAGAAGGGTCTGGCAAAAAATTTAAAAAAAAAAATCTGAAGACAACTATAGTAGGGTTTTTAAAACCTGAAAATTTCCAAGGAATCTAAAAGGTAACTTCTGTGTAGGGCTGTGTGCATGGCCAGGAACCACATGCAAGGGGTCAACTCTTTCATTCTGAACGACCTTGAGGACTTTTGCAGGCAAGATACAAAAGCCAACACAGAATTGTGAATAGCATAAATGTTTAAGGCATGCTGAAATATACACATAGAGCTCCTTATGTATTTAAGAAAATCTTTCACAAATCTTCAGCTGACCACCAAGCTAACCAAGCAGTAACTTCAGCGGCTGCACCCTGTAAGAAATATACACATTGCAGAATTAGTTCAAGAGATTCCTAAACAATCAGAACAACAGCATTAGCAACAAAAACAGTAATAGCAACAATTATGGGGAAAGAGGCAGAGGGATTAAATTTCTAGAGTTGCCACAGTATGTAATTTTAAGTGCACAATTTTCATTAATATTATGAGACACAAGAAACAGAAAATTATGACTCACACAAAGAAAAAAATACATCAAGAGAAACTATCTCTGAGGTAGCCTAGATATTGGATTTAACAGACAAATGTTTTAAATAAGTTATTATAAATATGTTCAGAAGAAAAGAAAATCACATCTAAGGAATTAAAAGAAAGCATGACAACAATTAAAAGAAAGTCTCACCAGATATATCAATAAAGAGGTAAAAAAGTATGTTTAAAATAAAAATTCTAGAGTTGAAAAATACGATAATTAAAATAAAATATTTATTAAAAGGTTTCAACAGCAGATCTATGGGACACTATCAAGCATACCAGTGAAAGCCTCAGAAGAAGAGATAGACAAATAAATGTACAGATTAAAAAAAGATGAATAATAATGTCTGAAAACTTTTAAAATTCAATGAAAACATTAATTGACATAGTCAAGAAAATCAACAAATTTCAAGTAAGATAAAATCATGGAGATCCACACATAAAAATGTCATAATCAAACTTTCAAAGACAAAGGGAATCTTTAAAGTGGCAAGAAAGAAGTCATCACATACAGTTAATTTTCAATAAGATCAACAGCTAACTTGTTATCAGAAACCAAGAAGGAGGCAGTTCAATGACATATACAAAATATTGAAAGAAAAAGACTGTCAGCACCAGTGATTCTAAATAAAGCAAAACTATATTTCAAAAATAAGGAAGATATTAAGACATTACCAGATTAAAGAAAAACTGACAAACTTGCTATAAGAAATGCTAAAAGAAGTTAATCCAGCTGAATTGAAAGAGCTGAACTGAATTTGAGTTACTTGATGGTAACTCAGATTTATGTAAAGAAGTAAAGAGCATGGGTAAAGGTAACTACCATTAGATTACATAAGAGATTAACATAATAGACAGTATCTACGTGTTTTGGTTTATAGCTCTTCTCCTATTTAATTAAAAGACAATTGCATGAAGCAATAATTACAAAACTTTCGGATGGGATTACACTGTATTTATGTGTGTGTGTATTTGTGAATATATATGTAATTCATATATATCATATATGATATAATACTGTACAAATTATGTATATCATGTATAAAATTAATATGATTTATATGGCAACAATAGCACAAAAGAGGGTGGAGGTAATGGATGTATTTTGGAACAAAATTTTTATATACTTAAGTTAGTATAACCCAAACTACTTTATTTTAAGCTAAAAAGCCAATTTTAATCCTATATTAACCAGTAAGAAAATAACTTAAAAAATATATCAAAAGAAACAAGATAATTAAAATGCTACACTAGAAAATATCTAACTCAAGGCAGTAATAAAAGAATAGATAACTAGGTTGGGCACAGTGGTTCATGCCTATAATTCCAACACTTTGGGAGGCCAGGGTGGGCAGATCACTTGAGGCCAGCAGTTCAAGACCAGCCTGCACAACATGGTGAAACCCCAACTCTACTAAAAATATAAAAATTAGCCAGGTGTGGTGGCATACGCTTGTAATTTCAGCTAATCAGGAGGCTGAGGCAGAAGAATCGCTTAAACCCCAGAGGCGAAGTTTGCAGTAAGTCGAGATTGTGCCACCGCACTCCAGCCTGGGCAATGTAGTGAGATTCTGTCTCAAAAAGAAAAAAAAGATAACTACATTAAATATAAATAGATTAAGTATACTAATCTGTTAATGAAGTCAGAGATTAGCAAAACAAATAAAAAACAATGTTACCATATCCTGTCCACAAGAGACACACTCTAAATTCTGAGAAACAAATAGGTTGAAATTAAAAAGATGGGGCTGGGTATGGTGGCTCATGCCTGTAATCCCAGCACTTTGGGAGGCCAAGGAGGGCAGATCACTTGAGGTAAAGAATTCGAGACCAACTGGGCCAACATGGTGAAACCCCATCTCTACTAAAAATACAAAAAAAAAAAAAATTAGCTGGGCATGGTGGCACATGCCTGTAGTCCCAGCTACTCGGGAGGCTGAGACAGGAGAATCACTGGAACCTGAGAGGTGGAGGTTGCAGTGAGCTGAGATCATGCCACTGTACTCTAGCCTGGGTGGCACAGTGAGACCCCATCTCAAAAAACAAAACAAAAAAGAATGTAAAAAGATGAAAAAGATATGCCATGGAAACAATAATTAAAGTAGATTTAAATTGGCACTATTAATATCAGAAAAATAGAGTTTAAGGTAAATATCTTTGTAGAGACAAAAGAACATAATTTATGGTGATAAAAGATTCATTCTATAAATAAAAGATAACAATTAGAAACATAAATATACCAAACAACAGAATACTAAAATGCATAAAGTAAAAAGTGACAGAATTAAAGGAAGAAACAGGCAACACAATTATAGTAGACGGCTTTAGTATCCACTATTATGGTTTGAATGTTTGTGTCCTTCAAAAATTCATGTGGTGAATATTAATGTAGAGATATATTCAGACGTGGGGGCTTTTAGAAAAGAAGTGAGAGAAAGTTATTTCTCCATGTGAGGATTCATCACACACCACCATCTATGGAGCACAGAGTGAGCCCTTACCAGATGTCAAATCTGCCAGTGCCTTGATATTAAACTTCTCCACCTTTGGAACTATGAGAAGTAAATGTATATTTATAAACTGTTCAGTCTAACTCATTTTGTTATAGCAGCCTGAACAGAATAAGACACTTGCTTTCAATAATCAGTACTACAACCAGGCATAAGAAAACAAATAGAACAAGCATATAGAAGACTTGAGCAACGATATAAATCAACTACACTTAACAGACATTTAGAGAACTCTCATTCAACAACAGAATATGCATTCTTTTCAAGTTTACATAGAACATTCTTCAAGGTGTGCCTGTATTAGGGCATTTTAAAAGCCTCAATAAATGTAAAGGGCTTAAAAGCATGGAAAATATGTTTTTGACCACAATTGATTAAAATTAGAAATAAACAAAGAAGGAAATTTCAGAAATTTACAAATATGTGAAATTTTTAAAAAATCTTCTAAATAACCAGTGCATCAGAGAAGAATCACAAGGAAAATTAGAAAATGCTTTAAGATGAAAAAAACAAAACACAACATACCAAAACTTGTAGGATGCAGCCAAAGCAGTCCTTAGAGGAAAATTGTTAGCTACAAAAGCCTATATATAAAAGTAGATGTATTTCAAATCAATATTCTACTACTACATTGTACTACTATTTCTTCTACTCTAAGAAATCAGAAGCAAAAGAGCAAAGAAAACCCAAAGCAAACAAAAGGAAGTAATAACAAAGATTAGGGAAGACATAAATAATGTAAAGAAAAGAAAAACAATAGAGAAAATTAATGATACCAAAAGTTTGCTCTTTGAAGAGATCAACAAATTCATCAACCTTTAGCTAGAACTACATAAAAAAGAAGGAAGATACAAATAACTGAAATCAGGAGAAAAATAGAGGAAAAGAGAGGATATTACTACTGATCTAACAGAAACAAAAATAATCATAGGGAAATGTGACGAATAACTGTACACCGACAAATTAGAAAACCTATATGAAATTAAAAGTCCTAGAAAGACACCAGTTGCTCACACTGACTTCAGATAAAGTATAATATCTGAATATCCAAAAACAAATAAAGAAATTAATAATTTAAAGGTTTTCCACAAAAAAATTTCAGGCCAAGATGGTTTTACTGGTGAATTCCACCAATATGTAAATGGTTAATACCCATTATTCACAAAAATCTTACAAAAGGTAGATGAAGACAAAATACACTATGAGGCCAGCACTGCCCTTCTAGTAAAACCAGACAAAGATAACACAAGACATGAAAACTGTGCACCAATATCCCTTATGAATATAGATATAAAAATTATCAACAAAATACTAGCAAACTAAATCCACAAAATATAAAAAGGATTATTTTTCATGGATCCATGGGATTTGGTCCAGGAATATGAGATTGTTTTAACATAAAAACTCATTCAATGTGATACACCAAATTAATATATTAAAGAACAAAAAATACATAATATTCTCAGCACAGAAAAAACAACTGAAAAAATTCAACATTTTTCATGATGAACAAAGCAAAACAAAATACAAAGACTCAACAAACTAAGAATAGTAAAGAGTCTTCTCAACCTGATAAAGTGCTTCTATGAAAAATCACAGCTACATCGTACCTAATAATAGAAGACTGAATGGATTCACTTTAAAATTAGGAACAGGATAAGAATATTTGCTCTTACCACTTCTACTCAACATTGTACCATATCTTCTAGCCAGGATAATTAAGCAAGAAAAAGAAATAAAGTGCATCCAGATTAGAAGGGAAGGAATAAACTATTTCTATTTGCAGATGACGTTATCTTGTACATAGAATTCTTAAGAAATATACAAATAAAAATTATTCATCAAGTTTGCAGGATACAATGTCAATATAAAAATTAATTTTATTTCTATAAACTAACAGAGAACAATGTAAATACCAAATTAATAAATGCTATTGACAATGGCATGAAAAAGAATAAAATACTTAGAAATAAAAATCACAAAATATAGGCTAGACTTGTTATTGGAAATTTGTTAATGAAAACAAAAATTATTGAAATAAAACCAAAATAAACATTAATAGAAAGTTATTTCATCATCATGGATTGGAAGACTTATCATTAAAATGGCAAAACTCCCCAAATTTATCTACATATTCAACACAATCCCTCTCAAAATCCAAGCTGGCTTCTTGGCAGAAATTGACATGCTGATCCAAAATTCACATGGAAACGTAAGAAACCCAGAATAGGCCTGGCGCGGTGGCTCACGCCTGTAATCCCAGCCCCTTGGGAGGCTGAAGCGGGCGGATCACTTCAGGCCAGGATCCGAGACCTGCCTGGCCAACACGGCGAAGCCGCGCCTCTACTAAAAATAAAAAAATTAGCTGGGCGTGGTGGCGCAAGCCTGTAATCTCAGCTACTCCGGAGGCTTAGATGGGAGAATCACTTAAGTCAGGGAGGCGGAGTTGGCAGTCAGCGGAGATCGCGCCACTGCACTCCTGGGCGACAGAGTGAGACTCCATCTAAAAAAAAAAAAAGAAAAAAAGAAAAGAAAAGAAAAGAAAAGAAACTCAGAATAGCCAAAAAAATCTTGAAAATAAATTACAAATATGAAGGACTCATATGTTCCCGTTTCAAAACTGACTACAAAGCTATACTAATCAAGTGTATCAAGTCAGTTAAGTGGGAGTAAGAATAGTCTTTCAACAAATAGTCCTGGGATAACTGGATAGCCACATGAAAATAATACAGCTTGACTTCTACCTCACAACATACAGGGTCCATAGATCTAAAAGTAACAACTAAGATTATAGCAGTGTTAGAAAAGAAATAGGAGTGTATATTTCTTGCCTTAAATTAGTCAATAGATTCTATATATAACATGCAAAGCACACATGACAAAAGAAAAAAAATACATTGCACTTCATCAAAATTAACTTTTGTGCTGCAAATTATGCCATCAAGAAAGGGAAAAGGCAAACCAGCAGTTATCACCGCCAGGCTGAAAGGACAAAGGGAGGAGAGAGTGTTACCAGATTGTGAACTGAAGTTGGGTTCCCCATCAACAGCTGCGATCTGGGAAGCAGGGTAATTTGGTAAGAGTTGAAGCTAGAGGAGAGAACAAAGTCACTGCCCACCGCCGGAAGCAGAGAGAGTGGACACACCCTGGCTTTTCTTTCTCTTGTCCTTCAGTGTTATTCCAATTTTCTATCATTAACTGAACTCTGATAGAAGCAAGATAGCAAGATGGGAAATATAGCTTTAAAGAGCTGGCCCTTTCATAGAGTGATGCACATAAAGTGAGAAAAAGCATCCAGGAAAAAAATAGAGAAATGACTGACACAATACAACATCATTCTCTGGATTTATGCCTTTATACCACAAATTAATTGTTGTGGTTTTCCAATAGATACAACACAAAAGTAGGGAATATTCATACCACAATATTTCTCTTTTCAAATCTGTGAACAGCTTGAACTTCTAGGCTTGGTTTGTGTGTGTTGGTGTGTGTTTTGTGTTTTTAATTCTAAAGAAGCTTGGGAAGGTGGAAAAAGAGTGTTAGTTGCTTGGGTTCCTCATAATATCCCTCTACCTCGTCTGTTAAAAAACATTAATGTTACGTATTCAATTGCTGAAAAGACCAAATGAAAGAATATATATACAATTTTTAGTACAAGGTCTTGTGCATAAATGTACATCGTTTCCTTTCTGTTACTTCACTACAGTCCCATTATAACAGTGCCCTTCTAGACAATTTTTCTCTTTGGTAATCTGTGGGCTGTACCTGTAAAGTCATATGTTGTTCATGTTAAGAAGCTCTACTCTCTCATGAATGATGCTTGGTATGCAACCTGAGGGCTGTCATTTTAGCTGGCAACTTCCAAGACTACTGCCTTTGGCAGAGAGAAGTGGATGCTCGGCTCTGTGATTTACATGACATGGATTCTTGCTTATTATGATGTGCAATCTGGCTAATCTGTCATCCATTCTCTGAAAATAAAATGCAAGTGTACAAAATTAGTCTGAGACAGGGAAGCCATGACTAATGAACAAAAGTAAAACTGGTGTTGGGGAGAATACACGAGGTATTCCAAGTGGCAGCAAAAGCAGTAGTAAGTCCTTATAGATGATATCCACTTTACTATTAAAATACTTAATTCCTTGTTAGGAATTCATTAAGCAGTTTTGCAGTCTGACATTAGCAGCCAAATAGCAAGGTTGCTATCCTGTAAAATTAGTCATTTAATTGAACTGAACAATTTGTACAGGGGTCCTCATTATCCACATGGAATTCACAGAATCCCTAATCTGTGGTTCCCTCTACCCTGCAGCAGGGGTAGAGGGAAGGAAACAGCCTAGCATTGCTGTTAAGTTCTTTTTGTGGATGGAGCATAAAACTCAAGGTCATGACCATTTGTGTTCATTAAAAATCCCACAGAATTTTGAGACAGAATAGGGATGTTCACTCTCTCTGGTGTCTTGGCTAACTTCCAGCTGGATAATTACTTTCTGCCTGTAAAAAATGATTCTTCTGTATTTGGTGTTGGCTGAGACCTTCATTTATTTATTTTTTCCTATTTCCAGTTTGTGTCTGCTGTGAGACTGGTGCTGATTTTGAGAGGGCAAATTCTATCTGCTCTTTCTGGGATGGGTTTTTGTAAATATTCTCTGCCACCCAGAAAATCTTTTGTGAACCCCAGAAGTTTAAAGTTATTATGCTGTGTAATCATAGCCTCTGCTGTATTATTGATTTTCTAGGATTAATTAATGAACATATCTATTTTCAAGCTATTTTCTTGAATTTTTGTCTTATCTGGATTTTATTATATTACATGCATATATGCTTGTCCAATATTTTACAACTTTTTCATAACTATTTTGATGCACATTTAGGAAAGCCAGGACAGATAGGTATCTAAATATTATGTCACAATAGGTTGCTCATTCCTCTTCCATTTGTTTCATATTTCTGTAACATAAACTTGCATGTCTTAACATGCATTGTCATTCACCACCGAATATATCTTCTTTTAAGCTCTGCTTTTGATCTAAACATCTTAGGAATTTTATATAATACAATTTTTTCTGAAGATTAGAAATCTAGAAAGGATAATGGTGCTGCCAAATCTCTTCCCATAGGCAACTTTTAATCAAGTGGATTTTTCTCCCCAGGCTTCTTGTTTAGCATACCTGTGGGAATCAAAGAGAAAATCATATTGGAAAGTCACCTGGAGGTTGACTGCTGTTTTTTGAAAAAGTTGACTGAGATTGATTTCAAAGTAGAAAAATGTTTCTACCTCCTCTTTTAAAAGTAGTTTCCTCCCCTATTTCTGTCCCTGAGTAGAGTAGTTTTACTCTACTTAGAGAGCAACATTTATTCTAGGTCTGGATTCATATGTTGGTAAGCTGTAAGGAATCAGTTCAGCTTGTATAATTACAAAGATGCCATACATTTAATTGCAAATCCAGAGCATAAGTTAAGTGAATTATTTTTGAAAGGGAGTCTTCCCTGTCTCCCTCAAAACAAAGTGGTCAGGCTTAGCCACTTGAAAATCCAGTCTTGTCTATGTCTGGTATCAAAGTTTAGATTAACCAAAGTCAAATGTTAAAGGCTGTTAATGATTATTTGGGCCAATCTTTCATTGATATAAACAAGAAAATTAAACTGAAGTTATTGCATCAAAGTCATAGAACTAAAAGAGGCAAGACTAGAATCTAACATTCTTGTGACTCTTCCTACTATCCTGAAAATCTTACTAGGACCTCAAAACTTTGAAAATTTTGTCTGGTACTATTATATCCTCTACCTCTTTCTCAATATATTTTCTAGAATGATTGGAAAAACATTTCTGCTAATCTTTTCAAACTTACGCCTCTTTTGGACTTTATTACATTGTTTGTTACCAGCCAAGACTCATCTATATATACATGATTGAATATATAGAATCTTGTATTGAATCTTATATTGAATCTTAGTTATTCAGAAAGCCTGGAATCTGTGCTACAGAAGGAAGACATTCAACTACAAAAAATGTCAGACATGACATTCACACAAAGATTCATCCAATTTATCAAGACAGTCATAGAAAATTGGATGCTATATGAAAAGGAGGAGCATGCCCTGTGGAAGTGATTTTTGAAGAGTGGTTTGCGGTGGTTGAATAGAGCTGTGACTAGATGCTTCATGTGAGAGGGTGAACACAGTAAAAGGGAAATTTAGTTCATTCCATAGGAGTTGCCAGTCTGGATCAGATTACTGATCCATAAATTTTGGATACCTTCCCATAGTAACAGGGGCTTATTTCAAGAGCTTATCAAGAAGTCAGAATTATTTCATCAGATTCCAAGTCAAATGAACTATGCAAAAGAAAGTTGAAAAAGATTTGAGAAGAGATTAGATGAGAAATTAAAAATCTGAAACAATGGCCTATTAGTTTTTTGAATAATAAGTTGTACTACTCCTTTTGAATATGTACATTACATATAATATTCATTAATAATTAGGTCATTTCATTAAATTGTACTCTGGCTGCAAGGGAAGATCTTGAAGCTCTTGTGTCTATAATAAACACAGATACCTTTTAAGAAATGTGACTTTAAAAATCTGTTTCAAATATATTATGCAGTGGCATGTAAACTGATAATTGAATGTAATCATATGCATCTGCTCCAACTGATTGAGGCAGGAATCAACACTAGAACTAGACAAACACAATAAGATTAGACAAGAGATAGGTGGTCACACTAGAGATAGCTGTACAGGACAGCCTATCTAATAGAGCACACTGGAGGATGGCTCCCCAACACATACACACATAAATGCAGGTGATTTAAGATTAGGTTTCAATCTTATTATTTTCTGTAATGATATCTAGTTGGAATAATACCACTTATTAAGAACTCCATCTTTATCCACCTAATTTGAAATGGCACCCTTATCAAATATTTTATCAAATGTCTATATTCAAATACCAAAAGTTTACTTATGTTTTCTTTTTCTAATTCTGCTCTGTTGATTTATTTCTCTATTCATGGGCTAATACAACACTATCTTAATTATAGGGGCTTTACAATATATTCTAATATCGGCAGAGACTACTCACTCCCACCCCTACTCCCATATACAATTGTTTTTACCTTCTTCTGTTTCTCTTTTTCTAGATATTTATGCTAGTTTGTTTTTTCAAGCAAACTTTATAGTCAATTTAAGTTCTGGGGGTGGAGATAGTTGAAACTGATGATGTTTATACTGCAACTGTTTTAATTCTATAGTTTATTGTAGGGATATTCGTAACTTTATAATGTTGAGATTGCTTAATCAAGAACATAGTATGCCTTTCCACTTCTTCCAGTCAACTTTTGTATTTTGTTAAGTTTCATCTAGGTACTTTATATCTACTTGTCTTTCTATCTATTTATTTATTACTATAGTGATGAACTCTTTTCTTCCATTACATCATCTAACCAATTTTGTTGCATATATGAATGCTATTAATTTTTGTATGTTGTGTTTTATAACTAGTTATATTTTAAATTCTCACAATATTTGAGATAAGTTTTTCATTTTTTTAGGTTTTCTGTGTATTTCCAATTTGAAAGTACTCCATTGGCCAATAAGATCACTGAAAGACAGACAATTATATATTACATACCACCTACTAGAAATACACATCACAATCTACGACATGTACTAGGTAAAAAAAAAATCAAATTCAAATCAGATAAAGCCTCTATATCCAATTACTAATTGGAAAGAACCATAGGGCATAGCAATATGACAATACAAGATGCAATTAGCAAAATTTTAACTAAGGAACTACTACAGAGAAGCAAACACTTTTTTTCAATGAAAGGGTGAGAAAACTGATAGGAACTTAGTTGAAAATTTTATTGAAAGTAGAAAAATAATATTTTATATTAACTATATTTTATATTAATTTAAATATATATTAGATTTTATAATATCTATATACTAACTCAAAAAACGCATTTTATATTCTTTACAATATCTACTTAAAATAATAGTAAAAGAATGCCTAACTTTTCTCTTTAACTTTTTTCTTTAACGGGAAATGTCATATAATAAAACTAACTTAATTCAACAATAGGCAAAATGGAGAGAAAAAGAGAATATTAAAAAGATGGCAAACATAAAACAAATCATAAGATGATAAATATAAAAGTAAATATATCAATAATTTTATAAAAATCCAATTATACACTGCTTACAAGAGATAGACCTCAAATATAAGAATTTACCTTAACTTTAAATATAAAAACATGTGTTAAACACAAATTCAATAAAGTTAAACTTAGAAATACAGAAAAAGATATACTATGCCAACATTAGGCAAAATAAAACTGGTGAAACTATATCAGCACTAAAGTCAACTTTAATTCCACAAGACATATTAGAAATAGAAATATATTTCATGAAAATAAAAGTGTCAACCCACAAGGAAGATATGTAGATAAATAAAATCTATATCTACTGAGTATCAGAGCTTCAAAATACATGAAGCAAAAATTGACAGAAGTAAAAGAAGAAATTGAAAATCCATGTCACATATGAGAGACTTTAAAACAAACTTTTTTTTCCTAGTTGATGGAATATAAAGAAAAATACATTAGAAAAGACATAAAAGATCTAAAAAAAGATTAATGTAATTGTTACATAAAAAACACTAAATTCAACGTGACTGAAAAATCTTTTCTTCAAATGCCCATACAATGTTTACCAAAATGGCAGTATATTGAGACCTAAAGTAAGACTGAAAATTTTTCAAAGCATTAAAATAATTTCCAAGCATGTTCTTTTTCTCGAAAGGAATTAAGTTAGAAATCAATGTTTTAAAAATCTAAACAATACCAAAGTTTTATAAATTAAGCACACTATGCTAAGATAAACCATGAGTAAAAAAAAAAAAAAAAAAACACAAACAAAATTATAAATTAATTTGAACTGAATTTAATAGAAATAGAATATGTGAAAACCTGTGGAAAACAGTGAAAAGCATGCTTAAAAATAATAGAATCAAATGCATAAATAAGAAAAGAAAATTATGAAACTAAATAATCTAAATTTCTATCTTATGAATTAAAACAGTAATAGCAAATTAATTTAGCAAGTAAAATACAGGCATATCTTGTTTTAGCGTGCTTCACTTTATTGTACTTCACGCATACTGCATTTTTTTAACAAATTGAAAGATTGCGTCAAGCAAGTTTATCATCTTGCCCCAGTTAAAATGTTATCAAAAAGACAAAAATATCAGATGTTGGCAAGTATGTGGAGAAAGGTAAACACCAGTATACTGTTGGTAAAACTGTAAATTAGTACAGCCACTATGAAAAACAGTATCAAGCCTCCTCAAAAAACTAAAATAGATCTACCATATAATCTATCTATCTATCTATCTATATATAAAGGTATATATATATGTGTATGTGTGTATATATGTATATATACATATATACGTATATATGTATATATACGTATATACGTATATATGTATATAT
Organism: Homo sapiens; assembly: GCF_000001405.40. NCBI lineage: Eukaryota > Metazoa > Chordata > Mammalia > Primates > Hominidae > Homo > Homo sapiens. The sequence continues at coordinate 110,278,072 of NC_000003.12, read as the reverse complement.
ACGTATATACGTATATATGTATATATACGTATATACGTATATATGTATATATGTATACACATATATATATACACACACACACATCCAAAAGAAATAAAATTAGTAAATCAAGGAGAGATCTGCACTATTCACAATAGCCAAGATAAGGAATCAACCTAAGTGTCCATCAGTGGGTAAATAGATAAAGAAAATGTGGTACATATACACAATGGAGTACTATTCCTCCATAGAAAGGACAAAATCCTGTCATTCATAGCCATATAGGTGGAACTGGAGGTCATTATGTTAAGTGAAATAAGCCAGGCACGGAAAGGCAAACATCATGTGTCCTCGCTCATATGTGGGAGATAAAAACGTTAATCTTTTGAAGGCAGAGAGTAGAATAATGGTTACCAGAGTCTAGGAATGGTGGTGGTGGGGGTGGATGATGAAAAGAGGTTGGTTAGTAAGTACAAATGTACAGTTAGATAGAAGGAATAAGTTGTAGTGTTCGGTAGCACAGTAGGGTGACTACATAGTAATTCATTGTATATTTCAAAGTAGCTAGAAGACAAATTTGAAATCTTCTGAACACAAATCGTAAATGTTTAAGGTGATGGATATCCTAAATACCCTGATTTGATCATTATACATTATATGCATTTATTAAAATATTACATGCGCCCCATAAATATGTACAGTTAGTTACTGTGTAACAATAAAAGGCCAACATTCCTTTCCTTGTGCATCTCCACCAGAGCTCTTCAGTGATGAGATGCATTGTTAATGATGAATAATATTTTGAAAGGAATCTTTTTTTTCCCAGAGGATTAGATTCCAACAGTGGGCTTACACATTCAGTATACCATGCTGTAAACATATGTGCTATCGTCCAGGCTTTGTTGTTCAATTTATAGGGCATAGACAGAGTAGCACTGGCATAATTCTTCAGGACTCCGAAACTTTTAGAATGGTAAATGAGCATTAGCTTCCACTTAAAGTCAGCAGCTACACTAGCTCCTAACAAGAAAGCCAGTCTGTCCTTTGATGCTTTGAACCTAGGCATTTACTTCTCCTCTCTAGCTATGTAAGTCCTAGATGACATCCTCTTTCAATAGAATGCTGTTTCACCTACATGGAAAATCAAAGCTGATGGCAGTGGCATACAGCTGTTGTTTCAGATACTAAGGAGCCTGAGGCAGGAGAATTGCTTGAACCCAGGAGTGCAAGACCATCTTGGACAACATAGTGAAACCCTGTCTTTCAGAAAAAGGGAGAGAGAGGAGAGAGAGAGAAAGAGAGAGAAGAAGGAGGAGGAAGAGGAGAAAGGTGGAAGAGGGAAGAAGAAAGAAGAAAGGAGGAGGAAGAAGATGAAAGGAGGGGAGAGGGAAGGCATAGGGAAGGAAGGGGAGGGGAGATGAGGGGAGGGGAAGGGAGGGGAGAGAGGGGAGGGGAGGGGAGAGAGGGGAGGGGAGGGAGGGGAGAGAGGGGAGGGGAGGGAGGGGAGGGGAGGGAGGGGAGGGGAAGGGAGAAAGAATGTATCCACCTGCCACCTTCATCAATTATTTTAGTTAGACCTTCTGGATAACTTGCTACTGCTTCTACATTTCTATATTAACACTTGCTGCTTCCCCTGGTACTATTATGTTATTGAAATGGCCCCTTTTCTTAAACCTCAAGAGCCATTATCTGACAGCTTCCAACTTTTCTTCTGTAGCTTCCTCACTTCTCTCAGGCCTCATAGAGTTGAAGATAGTTAAGGCCTTGCTCTGTACTAGGCTTCTGTTAAGGGAATGTTGTGGCTGGCTGGACTTCTATCCAGACCATTCAAAATTCCTATATATCAGCAATAAGGCTTTTTGCTCTTGTATTATTTGTGTGTTCACTGGAGTAACACTTTTAATTTCCTTCAAGAACTTTTCCTTTCTAGTCACAACTTAGCTAACTGGAGCAAGTGGCCTAAATTTCAGCTGAGCTAGGCTCTTGACCTGCCTTCCTTGCTAAGCTTAATCATTTTCAGCTTTTGATTTAAAGTAAAAGATATACAACTCTTTTTTTTTCACTTCAATGCTTACAGGACACTGTAGGGTTCTTAACTAGCCTAATTTCAATATTGTGTCTCAGGGGATAGGGAAGCCTTAAGAGAATGAGAGAGACTTGGCAACAGCCAGTCAGTTTAATTGTCAGAACATAAACCTTTATTAAGTTTGCCATCTTATATGGGTGTAATTTATGGGAACCCCCCCAAAATGACAATATTAACATCAAAGATCTTTGGCCATAGATCACTGTAACAGATATAATAATTATGAAAATGCTTGAAATATTGCAATATTACTAAAATATGACACAGAGAAATGGAGTATCTGCTGTTGGAACAGTTGTGCCAATCTTGTTGTGGGGTTGCCACAAACCTTCAATTTGTAAAACATGAAACATATGTGACACAATAAAGTAAAGTGCAATGAGATGAGGTATGCCTGTAATTCTTTAAGAATTCTTTATTTATTAGTTTATCACTTAATTTTATACGCCAGGACTAAGCATGAAATATTTATACAACTTAGTTTTTCCTCTTTTTTTGTAATTTTAATACATGATCCATGAATATAAGGTGGGTGTGTGTGTGTGTGTGTGTGTGCAGGTACTGACCCTTTTGATGCTTTAATTATTTTTACCCTCACTTTTGATTACTGCGAGAATATGTGTTCAGAAGCTAAAGGAGCAAAACAGCTATGCTCATTCAACTAAAGAACACAGAGTTCTTTAATACAAAAACATGGAGTTTGTTTGTCACATTCTCCCAAAAGACCTTTGGTAAAATTAACTGAATTATATTAATTCAAAACTGTAGTTTTGATCTTAAAAATTAAAAATGGAAAAAATTATATTTATGTTAATTGCATTAAAAGAAAACATAAGATATAAAAGGTAATATCTTATATATATATATATATAGATTTTTCTTCTCCTACTAGATCTGTAAATTCTAGAGGGTCAATATATTGTACAATTTTGTGTCCTTCTAAACACTGCATATAATAAGGATTTAGTAAATATGACATTTAAAATAAATATGTATGTTTATATATTATTTGAAAAAGAGTGTATTGTTGTATAAAGTAACATAAATGTAAGCATTTTCCAGGATCATGAAAGTAACATTACAGTAGTTTTATATTCTCTCTGTACAAAATATAATTGGAATAGTAATTATTTTTAACAGCCAATTGTGTACTTAACAGTAATAGAAAAAAGTTCATATTTCAAAATCGACATTAAATATGGCCATTTCTTTGCTAATATGTACTCCCTCTTTAAAACATTTCACAGTTTGAAATTGGAATATGCTGAACTTTAATTTCAAATTCAGTATATTCCCTATCCCAAAGTTTGTGTTAGTCTCTTTATTAAAATGTTTCAAAATTTGCAAATGTCAGCTGACTGTATGCTAAAGAGAATTGGAGGACAGTTGAATTGTGTGCCATTGATTAAATGTACTTTACATCCAGAATCTGATTTGAGTATTATTTAATTTGAAAAGGCCCATTTTTAGGAAGCCAGAAATTAAAATGCTGAGGAGAATAATAGTAGGTCAAATCCAGGTTTCAAACTTAATGATTTTATTTACTTGTTCTTTTTATATTACAGGTACAAGAAATGTAGTGCTATATAATCATATGAGTATTGCAGGAGGCAAATTAGTGGTCCACCAAAGATATCCACATTATATTCTGTGGTACATATGAAGATATTGTGTTACATGGCAAGGCGGAATTAAGGCTTTAGATGAAATTAAGGCCTGTAATCAGGTGACTTTAAAATGAGAATTTGCCTTATTTATCCAGCTGGGTCTAATATATTACAGGGACCTTAAAAGATGGAAGAAAAAAGAAGAGTCAGTTTCAGAGAGATGAAATGTGAAAAAGACTTGGCCAAACATTTAGTCAAGAAAGGTCAGTTTGGATTTTGTTTCTGCTTACAGAAACAAAATGTTTTCATGCTAGTCCAGTTATTATAAAGTAAAGATTCTGCCTGTACAGTTGCACATACACGCAAGACCACTGTAGGAGAATATGGAAGAATTTCCAGAAAAAGAACAGCTATGGATTGAATTGTGTCCCCCTGAAGTTCATATATTGATGCTCTAATTTTTTTGTGACTGCATTTGGAGGAAGGAAGTAATTCAGGTTGAATAAAGCCATAAGAATGGGTCCTGATAGGAATAGTCTCCTTATAAGAAGAGACACCAGGGAGCTCACCCTTTCTATCCACTATGTGAGAACGCAGCTAGAAGGTGGCTGTCTATAAGTTGGGAGGTGGGCTCTCATCAGAACTAAACTATGCCTGCACTCTGATGTAAGATTTCTAGCCTCCAGGACTGTGAGGAAATAAATATCTATTGTTAAAGCTACCTAGTGTATGGTATTCTGTTATGGTAGCCTAAGCAGATTAATGCAGGAACATATTGAGTGAATGAGCACAATACAGGTCATAAATCCAAATTCTTATGGATTTGCATTCTTGTATTTTATAATAGTAATGACTATTGTCCTCATATTCTTTGAGGGTTTGACCATCCTCAGGCCTTAGTTTCTTCCACTCCAGCTCATATAATTGAGGCTCAGTCCTCCCACTCCATAGAGATTTTTATGCTATCCTTCATAACGTTCACCCTTAACTTCTCAGTCTGCTTTACCGTCTGATTCTTTTGACCTCTCCTTGAAGTTGCTTCAAGCCTTAAGCTTGCATGGTATTTTCCCTTTATTTCTTTTGGAAGGTGCATCACCATCAGTGCATCACCATCACTGGCATGTCTTATATGGATCCAAAACTGTCAGTGAGAACACAAAATGAATGGCAAATAAAAGCTCATAGCAGAATAAAACAACAATCACTGCAACCCACACTCCAGTGTGTGCCACACTAAGTGGCTGAAGGTGTTTGTAATATGCACAGTTCACACTGACTGGCTGTGAATACTCAGAATTAGTTATAGAGAAGTTAAAGAGAAAGTGGCATATATATATATGTGTATATATATATAATATTATATATATAAACACCTCAATGATACATACAGTAATAAATTACTTTATATAGAGCTTTGTTAAGTGAAATTTGGATATAGTACATAAAAGTTAGGTTTCTTTCCTGTCTTTTATGGATTTCATTTACATTGCTTTTTGTCAGAATTTTTTCAGAAAGTACAAGAAACAGTACAACAAGAACTGTCTTATGTTAACCTCCTATGAAAAGGAAAAAATTGCTTCTGACTCAAATTGTATTTGTGTTCTTAATCCACTGGCTACCTCTGTTTAAACTTAACCACTTAAGTTTTAAGTGGTTCGTTAACATTCGTAAGTGAAGAAATACAGTGCACGGCAGGTGACAGGGTGTGGGGCAGGAAGAGGGGAGGACAAGGAGCATGTCTTTTTTCTTTCGTCATTTATAATAGCTATAAAAAAACTTCAGATTTTATCCATACAGGACAAGTATTGCCGGGGCATGCTGCAGTAACCTTTTGTTTTGTGTACCATTAATATATGCCTTATTTTTGTCTCTCGTTTTAGTTTTAACCTTATGAATGAACAGCTCTGTGTCTCTACTATACAACAGCAATATTCAGAGAAGGAAGGGAATGTTTTCCCATTGTATAAAGGCCAGGGAAGAAAATCTGTGAAGTGGACTAAGGAACAAAAATGTGTGCTCTTCAGGCAGGTACAAAGAAGACTTTCAGTATTAAGACTTCTGAATATCTTTTGTAATCATTATGTTGTTAATTACCCAATTCAAGGATCTTATTACGTAATAAAAGATAGGTCCCACTGGTTCTTTACTAAAGGATATTTAGCCAAACATAGAAATCAAATTAGAAATTTGGTATCCTTAAATCTCTAGACTCTTCCTAGAGATGTGATGAATATTTACAGTTCAATTGTCATCTATACCTTTTGGCTAAGATCAAGTGCAGAATTCAATTGTCATCTAAAGAAGTTGCTGTGCTGCAACTACTGGAGGTGTTTTGTTCTTGTTTTTTTTTTTTTTTTTTTTTTTCTGATGGGGTGAAATGGATGACATAAAGATGATAGGCCATTTAATCATTATTTTATCCCAAAATGCTTATTAGTATCTTCACTCTTAGATATACTGACTTCCACTAAAGGAAATTCGAACACCTTGTTTTACCTTATCCAAACAGGAATATTGCTTTTTATTTACAGTTATCTCAGAATTTTGAGAAAGCAGCAATTAAGATAACTGATACTTTTAAGGGCTGGGCGTGGTTGCTCACGCTTGTAATATCAGCACTTTGGGAGGCCGAGGCGGGTGGATCACGAGGTCAGGAGTTAGAGACCAGCCTGGCCAACATGGTGAAGCGCTGTCTCTATTAAAAATACAAAAATCAGCTGGGCGTGGTGGTGGGCGCTTGTAATCTGAGCTACTCGGGAGGTTGAGGCAGGAGAATCGCTTGAACCCGGGAGGCGGAGGTTGCAGTGAGCAGAGATCACACCACTGTACTCCAGCCTGGGCGACACAGCTAGACTCCATCTCAGGAAAAAAAAAAAAAAAAAGAGAGACAACTGATACTCGCATTAACCAACTGTCATACACGTTTTCAAGATCAATTACCAGGATTTCTGCATGCTGAGGTGTCTGAGAAGATGTTGGGCAGATAACACGAGACTCCTTACACACACACACGCTTTCCCACACACACTCCTTTGCACTTCAATGTACACTGCTACTAAAACTTCCTTTTTTCCCCCTAGCAGTGCAAATATAACAGTTTTGCTTTGCAATTGCAACAAAACAGACTAGGAATAAACACTGGACTAGTGCAGGCCAGAATACAGAATATGAGATTTTAAAAGTCACAGAGGCAGAAATATTCTTCTTTCTTAGGCAGCATCCGTGCAAGTGACTTCAAAGAGATACGCCTTAGTACATACCCCATGTTTACTTTGAGATTCTCTAATTTCTGGAAATCTGTAGACCCAAGGATGACTTCCTCATAAATATTGTTACCAATAAATTCTAATGAGATTTCTGTTTGCTCTGCCTGATTTTCTTCAGAAAGTAAGATAAATTTCCACTCTCTTCAATATGTGGTGATAATTGTTTCTTGAAAACTCTTTATACTTCAAAATTCAAGCCTATATTGAGATTTTGATAATTACCTATATGTGTATAACAAACCATAACTCACTTTTCTGAAGATATTTCCTAACACTATGTATAGGCACAGAAAATAAACTAAAAATGTCCTTAAACAACAAAAATAGATTCTTAAACACTATGCACTAAAACTATGCTAACTTTGTGTCATAAAAATGTCCCTTAGATTGTCTGCCAGAGCCTATTAAATTCCGCTTTACACACAGCCTTAATAAGTTTAATTATTTGATAGAAATCCACAGTTACTATAAACAATTAGAAATGGAAGGCTTCTAGAGTATGATACTCTGATACTAGAAAGAAGTAATAATTGAGAATGTAGAAGTGGGCTAAAAGTAGAAATCTATGAAAATTGAACATAAGACATCCCAAAATATAAATTTCCAGAGTCATTTAATACATGGAGCTACCAGTTAGGTTGTTTATTCATTCAAAAATATTTATTTGGCACCTGTAGAAATACATACAATAATTGCTAACACCTAAATTGTGCTCACTCTAAGCCAGACACCTCTTAAGCTTTTCTCCTTTATTAACTTATTTAAACCCAGAGTAGAAGTCAATATTACTGCCATACCCATTTTATGGATAGGAAACAGAAACACAGAAAAATTAAATGACTTGTCAAAGTCACACACCCAGAAATGACTAGAGCTGTTTGATCTGCCTCTAGAACCTATACTCATAAACACTACACTATATTTGTTCTTGAAATCCAATTGACTTTCATAATAACTTGCTCTGGGCTATATAAATAATTTCAAAACAGAAATTTACTCAAATTGCTATTTGTCCTTTAAAATTGGTTTCCTACTGCTTCCGTAATAATACATTATTAGCTGGGTACATGGCCATTCAGCTTGAGACTGCATTTTCTGTATTTTCTAGTCTTCTTTGTAGCTAGATGTCTTCCTAATGGAATGTGAGCAGGCATAATATTCCTACTTCACAAGATTAAAGGAAATCTTGTTTTCTACATCCCTCTTGCCCTTTCCTACAGGTTTTCAAGTGTTGGTAGTGGCAACCCAGATGCAACTACATAGCCAATAGCAACATAAAAATCAAGACAGAAGTAAGTTGATTTTGATGTTGTATCTGAATTACTTCATGGAGCAGAACTATTTTACAGCCTAGACCAATCATTTCTAGGATGTTATGTTGGCCAGCAATAAATTTTAATTTTACTTAAGCTATAGGGTTGTTGTCTTTCTTAAGGCATCTTAATGTGTTTCTTATCTTATACAGAATAATGTATTAATAATATTGCGATAATAACATTGCATTAGTGGAATAACTGTATCATTTATCTTGAAGGCAACTATTTTCACAGAAGTTGGCATTATGAAAGGGAAAATCATTTGGATAAGCCAGAAGAGACCTAGTCCTTAGGTCTAGGTTGATTATGTTCTATCTCTAAATGTGTCTCATTATATATTGAGGATGTAAAAAGGACCTGTCTCTTTTCTCTAAAGAGAAAGACAATAAAAGCAACAGGTATACTTTTGTAAAAGTACAATACCAGAGAAAAGAAATTTTACCAGATGCTAAAGAGGAATGAGTCTAAAATTACCAGAAGAGAGGGAAAAAAGAGAGCACAGTGATTTCCCAAGGTAGCCGATTCCTAAGGTAAATACTTAGGAATAAGTAGGAATTTCTTGTGCAGAAACTTTGGGGAAAGGTATTCTGGACATAAGGAACATCAGTTATAAAAGCAAAGAGAAATAAATTAGCATGAGAAAATGACTAAGCAAAAGTGTTTCGGTATTGTTGGAATATAAAATGGAAGAGTAATGAAAACATGATATGGGAGAGGTGCTTAAGAGTGTGTGCTTTATACTGAGAACAATGTGAGGGTCATTGAAATTTTTAAGATATGGGACATACAGTAATACGTATTTATTATATTTAACATATACCGTATATTATGTTCTCGGCTTGATGTAAGAGATACAGAAAACTGAAACATGGTGTGTGTCCTCAATAAGCTCACAAACTACTGGGAAACCACTTAAAGAAACAGCAGCAATGCCTTGTGATAAGTGTGTGATCAGTGCTGTGAGGAAGGCAAATGCCTTGTGCTTGTGTTATGGAAGAAGAGCAGGATGTGGGAAGTTATAAAGACGAGAAAGAGGATAGCTCTTTTACAGAACTGCAAGTAGTTTAATAGCAATACTTGAGGGTAGGAAACAGCAAGAGTGACAGAGAATGAGACTGGAGACTAGTCAGGAACCATGCCAGGAAGGTCTTTATGCCATACTAAAGACACTGGATTTTATTCTGAAGCCAATCACAGAATACGAAAAGAAAAACTGAGGAGGTAGAGCCAATAGAAGTGATGCACGAGGGAAAGAAAAGAGTATGAACATAATTTTGTGCCTCACCGAACCACTGGCATGATGGGGCCTTTAACTGAAATCGGGAATAAAAGTGACAGGGTCAATTCAGGAACAGAGAAAGAATGTGCTGTTGCAGTAGGTGTCCATTAAAGGGCCTGCCCTGTCCTCAACCCTCCATGAAGAAGGTGACCCATTTTCCTGCACAACACCCTGGCCATAGCTGAGATAACTGAATGAAGGATCTGACCGAGGAATAGTCAATTGGTAGTCAGGGCCTGACAGCAATGAGGTGTCCTAGCATGAAAGAAGAGCTGGTGAGAAATATCCAGGTAATGAGGTAGTTAGCAGTAGGAACTGACTTTATAAAGCTGCAATGAAGAAGTTGAAACCTATGACAGACCGTGGTGAGCCATATACAAATCAAAGTGATGAGGAAGGTGATAGACAGAAAGAAGCAGAGATGCCCTAGAGAGACTGTAAGCTCTTGACAGAAATGGAGTGAGAAGCCACCTGAGTTGCCTTGCTGCTGATGGCATTCACTGTTCATGCCTTATAACAAACTCACTTTTCCTTGAGGGAGTGTTCGTGATTTTCTCTTGCTTGCAGCCCAAAGAATCTAACTAAAAGAGTCACCAACTAGCTGTGTGCCTTTTCTCCCTCAACCTCTGGAGGAGACTTTAAAAGTGAAGATCATAGTTGAAATTATTTTAGAAGCAATTTTTTTTTTCCTTTCAGCAAATTTTTGTTTAACCGATGACTAAAACCTTTAGATTTACTATTAAGAAAGTCATGAGTGACACAGTTTTTAGAACTATGGGAGTTGAGACAGAGTTGTCTACTGCCCCTCTCAGTATAAAAAGAAAATGCACAGGCCTTGCAGGAAGTAATAAAGTTAATCTCCCCTTCCCACACTCTTCCGCTCTCTCCTCTCCTGGGCAAGTGGCTGAAAAAATACGTCCAGGTGCTACCACTGCAGGGGAGAAATGGCTGTTGCCTTGCCCTGCCTGATGACACCAGGAGAGTGTGTGACCCCAGTGTTCCTTGTGCCCACACTCAGATCCCTGCAGAGGCATTTGCCAGCCTTAGTCAGTAGGTGGCAATGAGAAGGGGGAGGCAAGGCCAGGCGGGGAAACCAGAGAGCATGGATGGGCCTTAGAGAACCTGTTTCAGAAAAACATATGTGGTGTGAGATGGACCATCTATTTGCTAAGATTCCAAGACCCCAGCACATGCTTCTTTCCCCCACTGGACTCTACTTACAAAGCATAAATGTAAAGGTAACCTTATGAAGAATTTCAAAATGGAAACTTCAGAGCATTAAACACCAAATATGAGCCATATTTAGTTTGGGGTCCTATGTGACTGTATTGGTAGCATGCCCATGAAACCAGACTTCAGTTGATGGAATCTGCATGGAGGGAAGGAGGAAATTTGTGAGTAAAATAAATATTTTATAAAATAAAACAAATTCCAATTTGTTTTCAATACAAGGGAATCTTATTTATAACTTATTTGGTGAAACAGAACAATTTGATATATTATTTTTCCCAAAAAGACTATTTATTTGGTGATAATTCCCAGGAAATTATCACTCTTGTTAAAAAACAAAAACAGAGCAGGAACAGTAACAGAAATATCATAAAAGTAACATTGTAAAACAGTATTTACAAATTCTCGTAATATAGAAAGTCATTCTGAGAATTCACCATCTCTATTAGTGACTCAGTGTTTAAGTTTTCCATCTTTAAGAATTTGTTCTTCACCTGTACAAGATAAAATAAAGGACGTGACTTCTAAGCATTTGTAACCATGTCTTTTGGCCAAATTCCTATTAGAATGTATTAAAAGGAGAAACCTGTCAATGAAGATGTAGCTTGGGACTGTGGGCCTTGAATCTGAAACATAGCCAGACTTTGAGAAGTACTTTCACAATTTGTACTTATTTCTTATCAAGCAGCTATTTCTTTCCTGCAAGCAGCAAAATAACAGTTTTTTTGTTGTCATTCTGTTTTCTAAAGGAAAGGAGAGAGTTCCCAGATTCTAAGCAATATGCTTATATTTCTAATCATGCAGAAAAATCTTGGAAAGGGTAGTTGTTAAACCAACCAGTTGTTTTGTTTCGGAGGCCTTCAGAAAAATGCAGTATTATTCATAAGAACACTTTTCACTGAAGTTGCAGCAATGGCTTGCACAAAGCTTCTGGTTAACAGAAGAGAGACAGAGGAAAGAGTTCAAGTACGAGAAGGTAAGGGTAACTTCAAAATCACAGAAGTACATGGGAGCAACACAGTGGCCAAAGAGGACAAAAGACCACATAGTGAGCTTTTGACACCCTTAGAGTGGCTCAGGAGTTCTTTATTATTCAAGCAAAAAATGAAAAGATGATTTCCCCCTGGCAATGATTAGTACACACCACTGAACAAGAAGCAGTTCTTGGGATTACAATGTGCTATGTCTTGGTTCTCACAGAAGTTTTCTTTCTTCTAATGAATAGCCGGTATAATGATTTGTGGTGCTATCCTAAAAAGTCATGCCACAATCCCCATAAATGATGCTCAAGACAGCACCAGCCTGTAGTCCCCTCTCTCTCTACTCTCTTTTGTTAGCTGCAGGAAGACCCTCAAAGATGGAGATTTGCAATGTAAAGGAAAAAACAGAATGGAGTTTATTATTCAGCTGGGATGTTGCCCATATATCCATGTGTGATAATAGTGTTCTCTCTTTCTATATGTGTCTTCAAAATGGATAAATAAACGCCACAGCCCTGAGTTAGTGTGGGGCCTACTGATGCCCTCTTAATGTTTAATTGCAGGGGAAGCATTCCCTGGAAAAGAGCCAGGGTATCTTCTAACTGAACAATTTTCATTTAATGCTGGCTCTGCCTAGCTGACACTGAAGTGCTATGATCTTATTCACTGCCCCATACCCAAAAGCTGTGTGCAATTTTCTGCTCTGCCTGGTAAGGATGATTTAGCCATTATCATGTTTAGGTGATAGCTAATTTAATCACTCATGATGTTAATGCGGTGTAATACATATGTTAATACTCATGGCACCCTGCTTAGGGAGCCTTTGGGTTATTTAGTGTCAGCCCATTTCACTGGCCTAGACAGAGCTCAGGAAGGCTCATTCTCTTCCCAAAAGCATTTTGCACTCATTAATTCTTGCAGTGTTTTGAGTGTGAAGCAGATTATATTCAGCTGCAATAGCAGCACTAGAAGTATTGGTATTTTCTAGCACATTTCTATGTATGTAGCTCTTTTTGACATTATTTGACAAATAAAGGATACCATTACCTGCTGGGCATCAAGCTTATGTTATCTCAAGCCTACATTTGTTTAAGTCCTTATGTTACTTCTCTGCTGCACTGGGCATTCCAACGCTCAGAAAACAACTCTTTCCTTGGTACAGTTGGAAGCATAACCATTATCCCATCTTGCTATTGGGAATGATTATAGTCACCCAGACATGAACTCTGACCACAGCATTGCCTACTTTAAATACAGTCCCTAGGAAAAGTTTGGTTTATCTGAAGTGGTGAGTGGGGTTACAAGCGGGGGGTTAGCTGGATTGTCAATACACTCATGGACTCTACAATATTATACCTAGAAGTTACTCTAGAAACAGTCTCATTCAATTCATATCTATGTAAGTGGAGAGAGAGAGAGGGAGGAGGAGAAAGAGAGAGAAGAAAGGGAGAGAAAGAGTGAGTGAGTGAGAGAGAGAGAGAGAGAGTAGTTACCTGAGGGTCAAAGAGGGTAAGTGTTTTGCCAAAATCATCCAACTTACTAGTTTCAGAAATGAAAGTAAACCAGATTCCCACAATTTCTTGTCCCAACACCCCCTATTCCCTCCAGAGACAGTTTGACAACGCCATGACTGAGCTTTGCAGAAACTTTAGATTCCAGGTCCAATGTCCTGATACTCTTAGGCAATGCTGCGATTCATCCTTCCACAAATCCTTTGACCAGTAAATATTGAGCACTTTTAAAGTGTTAGACACTGAGCTTAAGACGCAGGAAACCAGATATAAAAGCCATATTGAGCCCCTCTGTTCAGACAGATCCCTATGTTAGGCCATTTCTCTGGCAACCAAGGTGCCATCTGAAGTGTTACTCCTGAACAAATCTCTGTTGTTGAGCAGAATTAGATGGTAAAGGGTAAATACAGTTTTCAGTGAGTCTGAAACATGAACATATAACTCAATTAATTTGGAATGTTATCTACAAAATATGTAAGTATTGTCAGGGCTCAGAACATGCTACCCAGATTATGGCACCTTGGAGTAACCTCAGTTACTCTCTGAACTTTTCCCTGCCTTTCTTCCCTGAAACAAGGTTGTAAAAAAATTCTCTGACCTATCTCCTTTGAAAGTAGGTTATACAACCCTCATTCCAAAGGATCCTGTGTATACCCAGAGGCCAAGAAAAATCTGAAAAAAGAGTCTTGATGAGTTCCCCTCAGTTTATTACCATAAGATCACACATAGCCTTTTGTCCTCCAATGACACTTCTTCAGGACTGTCCATAAAAAGTACACAGCTTTCCCTGGGTCTTTGCATTTTTATTTCTGAAGACACAGGTCATGTATAACTTCCATGAAATAAATTTGCTATGCTTTTTTTCTTTAATCTGCCATTGCCGTAGGGTGTAAGCATGAACCTTGAGACGGGTAAGGAAAAGATACTACTTTTTCCCCTGTAGTATGCACATGAGATGACAACATAAACAAATAGTTTTAAATAAACAATAAAATGAAAATAAAGTATCTTTTTACTAGCTGTAAACAGTGGAAATAAGTGCATTTAGTAGATAGGTAGGAATAGAAGAAAAGCACAATGGAAGTGGCATATTGGAATTAATCATTTTTTCTCTAATTTATTGGAATTGCTTCCTACGGGAGATGAGATTTCAAGACTTGTTTGAGTGATGAAGAAAAGGGAACTTGTCTGGGAGAATCAGAAGTTTCGTGAGAGAAAGCAATTTGCCCAAGGTCATGTAACTAGCCAGTGTCAGAGTAGGGAATTAAATACGTTGAAAAGAAATGAATGTTTCTGTAGTGAGTCTCTTTATAAGAGCACCTTCAAGTTGATGTCAAGAATTTTCTCCAGGACGTAGATGAGAATTATAGTGACCTTCAAGAAATAATACATTGTGTCTTAGAGAAAAGAGACTGTGAGTTTTTCAGCTGAGAAACTTGGGTTCTAAGGGCAAATCTGAACCTACTTTCCGCACTATCCACGAAATGCTCTCCAAATCTCTATCAAATCTTGAGCAAGACAAACTACCCCTCTGCAGAAGATAAAAACTTGCTTTGTTCAACCTTTTATCTGAGGAGTATAATCCTCATTTTCCTCTTGAAAATAAGAGTAATAAATGAATGCAAACATTCGCAGCCGATTTCTGTCAAGAATCTCTCCCAACTAATTAACCTATGACTGGAGCAAAGCAAGCAGCTTAGCTGATAACAGAAATGCCAAGTCAGAGAGAAATGTCTTTCAATTAGTCGTATCATCCGAACCTGCAATTTCACTTTCCTTAGGATCAAATTCCATCCATTTCCTGAACACTCTCTCCCAGTCCCTGGCCATCCTCTTATTTGCTTGTTTTTCTTCATAGCAAATATCCCTATCAGAATTTTTATATTTTTTCCCACTCTGAAGTAAAGCTCTGTGAAGGTCTAAGTGTTTGCTGTAACCATAGTACCTAGAATTGGATGTAGCACATTGGTAACATCTAATAAATATTTATTAAACAAATACATATCTAACAAACTTAATAAAATCTTCTAATTTTTTTTTCATTTTTTAAATGGCCACGAAAATTTCTAAAAGCACACAATTATTGAATCAAAATTGAGAGTAAACAAATATTTTCCATGACACTATGCTTTATCATTAGTATGGGTGGTAGTTACTAAATATTACATACTACATATTGTAAATATTATCTTCTGATAATGTGATATGTAGAATTCAACCTGAAGAATATACATGACATATATAGACACTTCACTTGCGACACCAAAGATTCAGAAAACATGTATTGAGACTCACTGATAGAAGTTACTTAAAACAATCCATTTTTTATTTATATTCATTTTTTAGTTTTTAAAATTTTAAGATATTTAATTGAAAAATAAAAATTGTGTATATTTAAGGTATATAAGGTGATTTTATATTTCTCTACATCATATACTGATTACTGCAGTCAAATTAATCAACACATCAATCACCACCCATAGTTACCGTCTGAGTGTGTGTGTGTGTGTTGGGGGGCGTGGTGAGGACACAATATCTCTATTATAAATTTCAAGGAAACAATGGAATATCATTACCTATTTATAGTATTTCACTACACTGTATATTAGATCCACAGAACTTAATGATCTTACAATTGAAAATACATACCCTTTGATTAACCTCTCCTCCCGCACCCACCCCCAGCTCCTGGCAACCAGCATTCTGTTCTGATTCTATAAGTTCAACTTAGATTCCACATAAGTAAATTCTGTTTCACAGTATTTGTTTTTCTGAGTGTACATAATTTCACTCTTTTAAGAACTGCTGATAGAAGTTACTTAAAACATTCCACTTTTTAAAAATAACCAGTTTTTAAAATATACATAAAGATATCTAGATGAGAAATAATAGAATTCCTTAGAAGACATGTTATTCCAAGAATGGCCATAGACCTCAGAGTCAGCTAGTCTTGGGATTTGGATCTTAGATCTCCTGCTCACTGAGCTCATGACCTTGGCTAATTTATCCATGCAAAGATTATATTTCCCTCTCAGTAAACGGGATAAAATAATATCCACCTTGTAGTAATGTGAATATTATACGTATCATCAGCATTATATTAAAATATTATTTATATATTAATGTAAGAAATAATAATTATTTTCATAAATAATGTAAAGTCTGAGGCATTGCAAACCATTAACAAATACATGTTCTTGCCCAGGCTATCCTGCACATCACACCTACTTCTCCCAAAGTTTTCTGGCACTCAACCCCCACTGTCCAAATGTCAATTGCATTGGTATGTTTACAGTATTCATAGAATCTGACTTTTTCCCAAGTTTCAGTGAAAATGAATTTTGGAAGACAGGAATTAACTAACTCAACTAGTTAATTGTGGATCATGCAGCATTTTATCTCTGTGTTTCCAGATTTTCCCAGTGTCTCGGGTATGCTTTAGTGATTTGTGTGCATGCTCTATTTCTCCTACAAGATCATGTGTGCCTTCAGGGCAGGATGTAAGTGCTTTCATTATTGTATGCCCTGAAGAATCTCAGTGCCCTTCACATTGTTAGTACTTGAAAGGTTTGTTTAATGACTAAAAATGGATTTGATGAGAATCTCACAGGCATATTTCATATGTTTGCCACATATAATATGTACATTTAATTGAAACACAGAAACACAATTTTACTGTTAAAAATTTTTAAGCTTTTTAAAAACTTTATGTGTATTATAACACTGTACATCATTCTGTAAATCAATTTTGAGTGCAAATACAAGTTTTGGTGACTTATCTATATTGGCAGCTTATTGCTAATGAGGTTACTAACATCTTAGAGTTATCGAACATTTTTGTTTCCTAGTCTATGAACGAGAATTTATAATCTTAAGCTTTTTGTTTGTTGAAATGTTTACTAGAAGGAAATCTGTATATATTCTGGAAGCAACTATTTTATCTTGTCATACATACTGAAAACTCAGTTAGTAGCTCGTCATCTCATTTTAAACTGATTTTTAAGAGGTTTTTTAATTTTAGTGCTGCCAAATTTGACAATTTTTAATTCACATTTATCTTTTAACACATATATCCAAACTTGGCCAGAGATCTTAAAAACAGTCACCTATATTTTCCTTAACATGCTAAAGCTGTACTTTTACAGTTGGATTTTACTCCACCTAGATAGATTTTTTTTTTCTGCTGTAGAGTGTGAAATAGAAATAGGTTTGCTAACACCTGTTAGATTACTAACTTTCCAGCATCAGTTTTTGAGCAGTCTATCTTTTCCCCATGGATTTACATTACCAATTCTGAGATATATGAAGTATCTATCTATGTACATAGCCCTATTCTGGTGTGTGTGTATGTTTAGGTGTGTGCATGTGTGTGTTTGTGCCCATTCCTGTGATAATTCCATTGACTTAGTTACTACAGGCTGGCTTTAAATACTGACATCTGGCATGTGATAAGATGACCTCCTTCCCACAACTGTTCTGGTTTGTGTTGCCTCTTCTCGGTATATGGTGCCTAGTAATTTTTGAAAATTCAACCATACATGGAAGTATATTTATAGTTTCACTTAATTTTTTATTCAATCATTTCTAGACATTTGTATTAAAATGTTTCTAATGCAACTTTATTACATTTTTCTTAGATCACTTTGCTCTGACTAGCAGGACAGGTAACATGATTTGTGAGATCCAGCATAAATTGAAATTGTTGGGCTCCTTGATCCAAAATTATTAAGAATGTCAAGATGACGAGAGCAAAACATTAAACCAAGCATTTCCTAGCTCTTATAAATGCAGCTGTCATTTCCTTGGAGCCAGTCCTCCTGTCCAGCCACATCCCTGTGGTAATTGCAATGAGCTTTTGAGTCATTTCTCACTGTTTTCCCTTCAGTCAGTCTGTCCTCCTTTTCTGGAGCTTCTATGCAACTCTACAGCCATTGCCTGTTCTTATTATTTGTCTTTATTACTCTATACTTTCTGAACTTCACATGTGGTGTCCTCAGGGTTAATAACCAGAGCTTCACAGTGCCCTATTGGTACAGTTGTTCTATCTGCCAGGTACACATATCTTGTCAGTAGTAATGTTGGCATAGTCAATACACATGCTACTGCTTAACTCTCAGGATTTATTTCCTGTACCTTTCCATTTTGTGTAATGTCTTTACAACTTTTACATTCCATTGGCTAGCTCTCTGTCCCTCAGAGAACTCAACATGCTTTCTGACTCAATACCTTTGTATTTTTAGTTCTTTCTGCCTAGAAGGTTCTTAAGCAGATCTGCATATGGCCAGCTTCTTTTTAGCATCTAGGTTTTGACCCAATGCCACCCTCCTCAGAAGCTTCCTTGGTCAACAGCACTTTCTAAAATTATATAATTTATTTACTTGCCAAGTCATTACATGTTTCTTCCTGCTAGAATGAAATTTGCCATAGAGGGAAGCCATACTTGTTTTGTTCAGCTCTATATCCCCTGTTTAGTTACTAAGCATAATAAATATTTGTTAAATGGATTAATAAATCCTAGAGTTTTAGCAGATGGAGGGGATAATCAAGGACCTACCAGGGGGCCGGGCTCGGTGGCTTACACCTGTAATCCCAGCACTTTGGGAGGCCAAGGTAGGTGGATCACGTGAGGTCAGGAGTTTGAGACCAGCCTGGCCAACATGGCGAAAACCCATCTCTACTAAAAATATAAAAAATTTAGTTGGGTGTGGTGGCGGGTGCCTGTAAACCCAGCTACTTGGGAGGCTGAAGCAGGAGAATCACTTGAACCCAGGAGGTGGAGGTTGCAGTGAGCCGAGATGGTGCCATTGCACTCTGGTCTGGGCAATAAGAGCAAAACTCCATCTAAAAGAAGAGGAAAAAAAACAAACAAAAAACAAAGAACCTTACAGGGGAAGAGTATAATACACCAGAGAATGGAAAGAGTGTGGCATATAAAACAAACAAACAAAAGAGTTAGGAGATTTTAGTGGACAGTTTCCAGAGCCTTGATATTGAAGCTATTGTTTTCTCATTTATACACTGACTTTCTTAAGGGTAGGGGACTGGGTCTCATTTATCTTGATGACTTTAGACCCTAGCACAGAATGTCACTTATGTTGGGTTTTAGTTAACGGTTATTGAAATGAATAAACAGATTTATCTTAAACATTATAAAAATGTATTATGGCTTTATTCTTAAGCCCAGGAGAGATTTCTTATCTTTTTGTCTTATTAAAAGAAAGCTCTTCTGCATTAGTTCAAGAAATTGTGTTTGAAAGCAGGTCACACGGGTGCTGCACTGTGAACAAACTCTGGCTTTGTTTTATCACCTGAGGTGGTATATAATAAATTCATCAGCTGAGGCTTATGATGTTGATTAGGGTGGAGATTCTCTTAACCATGCAAGTCTGAAGGTGACCTGTAAATTCATTTTTCATAAAAGCTTAAAAGGCTGACTACAGGGGCCTTCAACCTCTCACATGACACCATTACAGCTGGACGTGGAAGGCAGTGTCGCTACCCTCAACAAACGAGGCATTCCTTGCAACTGCCTGACTCTGAAAGGTCGAAGGTACCCAAAGTCTTCCTCAGTATTTCAAGTGGCAGATCCATGTAGTATAGATGTATTTTTGTCAGACATGAGGCTTTAGTATGTGAAGTTCCTCTCACTCTCTTCGAGTGATTATAAAGGATGTAGATGGAGAATTGGATGTAAGAATAAATATTGTTTGCAATGAGGAGGGCAACAAGTTTCCTCAAATAAAAGTCAAATACAAATCACAATGAGTACTCACAGAGTAGTAGGTGATGTAAATATGGCTGCCCACATAGTCTTGAATATCATTGAAAAGGGTGACAGAAGCTGGGCGCGGTGGCTCACGCCTGTAATCCCAGCACTTTGGGAGGCCAAGGCAGGCGGATCACGAGGTCAGGAGATCGAGACCATCCTGGCTAACACAGTGAAACCCCGTCTCTACTAAAAATACAAAAAATTAGCCGGGCGTGGTGGCAGGCGCCTGTAGTCCCAGCTACTTGGGAGGCTGAGGCAGGAGAATGGCGTGAACCCGGGAGGCGGAGCTTGCAGTGAGCCTAGATGGCAACACTGCACTCCAGCCTGGGCGACAGGCAGAGCGAGACTCCGTCTCAAAAAAAAAAAAAAAAAAAGAAAAGAAAGAAAAAAGAAAAGAAGAAAAGGGTGACAGATGCAATTTTTTCCCTTTAGAACACCTACTGGCTATTATCTCAGAAAGTGAATATAGACCTCTGGTCAGTTCAGAAGAATGGAAGATGGATTCTTTATTCACTTGCTGATGCCTTTAACCTGTCTGTATTCTGATGTTAAGCAAAGATTAATTGAACACTTATATGTTCAAGATAGAAATTTAAACCTTTGATCTCAAAGGCTATAATATACAGTAGAAAAGATCTTGCAAGTAGAGTAGTCACTATAATACTTATGAAAGATAAGAAGAAGAAAGAACAGACTTGGGCCACCTGAGTAGTATCACAAAGTAAAATTCTATAGCTGTTTGAGGAGAGAGAGGTGAGTTCCAAGAGAGGTAGACAGTAAAATATCAATCACAAGATTCTTCTTGCATGCCTTAGGGTTGAAAAACCTTTTAAAATAAGAGAAATGGAAAAAAAAATAAGGAAAAATAATCTGAGTATAACAGAGTGAGGGGCAAAAGGATAGGAGGTGAGGGAAGGTGCAAAATATGGGCTCAAGATAAGAAGGACACCCACTGGACTGAAACATGGGGATTATATATAAGAGTATTTGATGAGAGCTTAGACAGATTGGTCACAAAGAAATGAAAGTGATAGTAGATACTAGGCCTTTAATCGCTAGATGATGATAAAGACTTAAATGTTAGACCTAAAACCATAAACACCCTAGAAGAAAACCTAGGCAATACCATTCAGCACATAGGCATGGGCAAGGACTTCATGTCTAAAACACCAAAAGCAATGGCAACAAAAGCCAAAATTGACAAATGGGATCTAATTAAACTAAAGAGCTTCTGCACAGCAAAAGAAACTATCATCAGAGTGAACAGGCAACCTACAAAATTGGAGAAAATTTTTGCAATCTACCCATCTGACAAAGGGCTAATTTCCAGCATCTACAAAGAACTTAAACAAATTTACAAGAAAAACTCAAACAACCCCATCAAAAAGTGGGCAAAGGATATGAACAGACACTTCTTAAAAGAAGACATTTATGCAGCCAACAGACACATGAAAAAATACTCATCATCACTGGCCATCAGAGAAATGCAAATTAAAACCACAATGAGATACCATCTCACACCAGTTAGAATGGAGATCATTACAAAGTCAGGAAACAACAGGTGCTGGAGAGGATGTGGAGAAATAGGAACACTTTTACACTGTTGGTGGGACTGTAAACTAGTTCAGCCATTGCGGAAGGGTGATTTCTCAGGGATCTAGAACTAGAAACACCATTTGACCCAACCATCCCATTACTGGGTATATACTCAAAGGATTATAAATCATGCTACTATAAAGACACATGCACACATATGTTTATTGAGGCATTATTCACAATGGCAAAGACTTGGAACCAACCCAAATGTCCATCAATGATAGACTGGATTAAGAAAATGTGGCACATATACACCATGGAATACTATGCAGCCATAAAAAATGATGAGTTCATGTCCTTTGGAGGGACATGGATGAAGCTGGAGACCATCATTCTGAGCAAACTATTGCAAGGACAGAAAACCAAACACTGCATGTTCTCACTCATAGGTGGGAATTGAACAATGAGAACACTTAGACACAGGATGGGGAACATCACACACTGGGGCCTGTCTAGGGTAGGGGGAGAGGGGAGGGCTAGCATTAGGAGTTATACCTAATGTAAATGACGAGTTAATGGGTGCAGCACAACAACATGGCATATGTATACATATGTTACAAACCTTCACGTTGTGCATATGTACCCTAGAACTTAAAGTATAAAAAAAAATGAATACACATATGGAAACATCATTAAAAAAATTAAAAAATAAACACATAGTAAAAAAAAAGACGATAAGCCACTGAAAGATTTGGAAGAATAATTTTCTTAAAGGAATGCTTTAGAAAAAGTGATTTAGTGGCAGTGTGAAGAAGGCAATGTAATTGAGAGGGAAAAGAAACAAAGAAAACCATTAGGATACCACTGAAATTATTTAGAACCAATTGGACTTTAAGATCAAGAACTATGGAAGCAGCATTTAAAAACTGAGAGCAAGTAATAGAAAACGAAAACCAGAAAATAATTATATGAACGAGAGTTGGGAAGAAGTCACAATTTAGATTGTGAATGATTAGAAAAGAATAGAATTCATCAAGTCCTGATTTGGAGAAAAAAGAAAACTTTTTTTCTCTTTTATTTTCCTTTTTTCTCCCTTTTTTTTTCAATCAATCTGTGTGTACATCTACCTAGTAAAATGGTGATATAAGAATAAAGAAGACATAATCCTTACTCACAAGTTTTAATAATCTCATCAGGGAGACCAACAAAAAAATTTTATATAGTGTTGATTTATAAGTGCTAGAATAAAGAGTTGTGTAGTATGTAATGGAAACACAGAGGGGGGACATTTAATTAAGACTAGATATCTGTGAAAGTTTCCCAGAGGAGGTAACGAATGATATAAATTTTATTTGATAATTAAAAGATATTTAGAAAAAAAGGTTGAGGGAGGGCACAATATTCAGAGGATAAAGCAGGAACTTGTTGATACTTAGAGACATGGAACAAGATTATACCTTTGAGGGAAAAAATCCATGTCTCAACAGGTAGAGGAAAACAAAGGGATGTTTGTGTGATGTTTGTGTGCTTGCTGAAAAATTCTCCTCCTAAAAGGTAGGAGAGCCATTACATTTGGTTTTAGACATTTTAGGTTTGAGGCTTTAGCAGGAAAGAAGTTTAAAATGTCTATCAGGTAAAAATAAGCATGTGGAGCCTAATGAAAAAGCAAGATTGGGGCCGGGCACAGTGGCTCATGCCTGTAATCCCAGCATTTCCTGAGGCCAAGGCAAGCGGATCACGAGGTCCAGTGTTCGAGACCAGCCTGGCCAACATGGTGAAACCCTGTCTCTACTAAGAATATAAAAATTAGCCAGGCGTGGTGGTGTGTGCCTGTAATCCCAACTACTGGGGAGGCTGAGGCAGGACAATCGCTTGCACCTGGGAGGCAGAGGTTGCAATGAGACGAGATCACACCACTGCACTCCAGCCTGGGTGACAGAGCAAGACTCCATCTCAGGGGGAAAAACAAAAAGTGAGACTGGGGCTGGGGCTGTCAGATTTATGTCTAGGCATTACGCACAAAAAGATAATTATTAAGGATTGAAAATATAAGATAGTATTATAAGAAAGAGATTATGGTGCACAAAAAAGCTTAGAAAAGAACCTTGAAAAATGTATGTATTTAGAAGAGGGTGGCAAGATTTGATAGAAAATAAGATTTTTTTAAAGTAAAAATATTAAGATTTAATAAGGCTTCAGGGAGAAAGGAAAAGTTTCCAGAATGAATGGATATTCAATACAGACAAACAACGTAGAGAAACACTTGGCATATTATAATAAAATGTTTAGAAATAGTTAATAAGTCAATACAAAAGCTAAGAACCACAAAAAGGTGATTGGATTGAGTAGTTTGGAGGTTACTGATGACATGAGAAAAGAATTTCAGTGAATAAACATGAGGGAAAATGAGTTTCAAGATATTGAGAAATTGGTTGCCTGGAAGGAAAGACAAGCCTTGAGTATAGATAACTCTTTGATTACATATAATAACAGTAAGAGCAACACCAGAAATACGTGACTGGCAATTTTTACCATGGAAGATCATCCCCTCCATGTGTACACAGAAGCAAACTTTGGAGAGTGAGCGGATAGGGGTATGAAAAAAAGAAGATAATCAAACAATAATGGTCCAGTGAAAGACAGACTCTGGAGAGCAGCAGCAAGTTATCTCTATTGTCCATAAGAAAAAATTATAAATGAAGATAGGTTAATTTTTGTATTGTGGTATGAACACTTAACATGCGACCTACCTCTTAACAAATCTTGTGCACTATACAATACTGTTAACTATAGGCACAATATTGCACAGCAGATCTCTAGAACTTATTTATCTTGCATAACTAAAAGTTTATATCTGTTGAACAACAAATCCCTATTTTCTCCCCCACCTCCAACCCTGGCAACCACCATTCTGCTTTCTGTTTTAATGACTTTGACTATTTTAGATATCTAATTTAAGTGGAATCATGCAGCACTGACCTTCTGTAACTGGCTTATTTCATTAAGCATAATGTCCTCCATGTTTATCTATGTTGTTGCAGATGGCAAGATTTCCTTTTTTTTAAGGCTAAATAACATTCTATTGCATTCATAAACCACATGTTCTTTATCCCTTCATCTTTTGGTGGGTATTTAGTTGTTTTCATATCTTGGCTATTGGGAAGAATGCTCCAATGAGCATGAAAATAAATACATTTCTTAGAGATCCTCATTTCACTTCTTCAATTATATACTCCCAATGATATTGCTGGATCATATAAAAATTCTATTTTTAACTTTTTGAGGAATTATCATAATGTTATTCATAGTGGCTGCACCATTTTACAGTCAGACAAACAATGTAAAAGGGTTCTAATTTCCTCTACTTCCTCACCAATACTTGTTATCTTCTTTATTTTTATTTTTTATACAGACATCTTAACATATGAAAGGTGAAACTTCATTGTGGTTTTGATTTTCATTTCCCTCATGATTAGTGATGCTGAGCATCTTTTCATATACCTGGTGGCCATTTGTATGTCTTTTTTGAAGAAATGTCTATGTAAGATTTTTGCCTATTTTAAATTGTATTATTTGTTTTATTGTCATTGTATTATAGGAGATCCTTCTATATTTTATACATTAATCTCTTATCAGATGGATGTTCTGCAAATATTTTCTTTCAGTCTATAGGTTGCCCTTTCACTCTGTTGACTTTTTTTTCTGTGTAGAAGTTTTGTTATTTGATATAGTTTTGCTGGTCTAATTTTGCATTTGTTGCTTATGCTTTTGGTCTTCTATACACTAAATCATTGCTATGTTCACTGCAAAAATCCTTAACAAAATATTAGCAAACCAAATTCAATAGCACATTAAAAGGATCATACACCATTACCAAGCAAAATTTATCCCAAAAATTCAAGATTGTTTTCAACATATGCAAGTCAACTAACATGATACAGCATAATAACAAATTAAAAGATTAAAATAACATAATTATTTTAATAGATGCAGAAAAAAATTGACATATTCAACACATTTTTATGATAAAATCTCTTAACAAACTAGGTGGAGAAGGAAAGTAGCTCAACCCAATAAAGGCCACATCTGAAAATCCCACTGCTAACATCATTCTCAATGGTAAAAAACTGAAAGCTTTTTTCTCTAAGATCAGGAAGAAGGCACAAAAACCCACTGTTGCCACTTCGAGTTGACATAGTATTGGAAGTTCTAGCCAAGCAATTAAGCAAGAAAAAGAAGTCAAATAATCAGAATCAGAAAGGAAGAACTAAAATTGTCTCTATTTTCAGAAAACATAATCTTACATGTAGAAAATCCTAGAGACTCCAAAAAAACGTGTTAGGACTTAAAACAAATACAATAAAGTTTCAGGATGCAAAATCAGCATACAAAAATCAGCTGCATTTCTATATAATTGTAGAAATTATATTAAATATCAACAGTAATATTAAATTATATGAAAATGAAATTAAGAAAATAATCCCATTTATAATAGCATCAAAAAATAAAATTAATTAGGAATAAACTTGACCAGGAAGGTGAAAGATTTGTACACTGAAAACTATATATCACTGATGAAAGAAATTTAAAAAGATATAAACAAAGAGAAAAGCATTCATGTTCATAGATAGGAAGATTTAATATTGCTAAAATGTCCATACTACCCAAAAGGATCTACATATTCAATGCAATTCTTCTCAAAATCCCAGTGACTTTTTTTTTTACAGAAAAGGAGAATAAAATTCAAAAATTCATATGGAACTAAAAGACCCTGAACAGCCAAAGCAAAGGACAAAGATGGAGACATCACACATTCTGATTTGAAAACTATAGTGATTAAACCCATATAGAACTTGTGTAAAAACACACATTTACATGGAACAGAATAAAATGCTCAGAAATAAATCCAGGCATATTCAGTCAATTAATCTTTGACAAGGGTGCCAAGGATACGCAATGGCAAAAGGACTATCTCTTCAACAAAAGGTGTTGGGAAAACTGTATATTCACATGCAAAATAATGAAACTGGACCCTTGTCTTACACCATACACACACAAAAAAATCAACTCAAAATGGACTAAAGATTTAAATCTAAAATCTGGAGCTGTAAGCTGTTAGACGGATAGACTGATTTTTAATGTAGAGGGTTTTGTTTTGTTTCAGTCTCTAAAAAGTTGAAAAACACCAAAATATTTAGCCTCCAAATTCCCTGAGAAAGATTGACAGAATTTGGTGACAGTTGTAGAGTACAGGAGCAAAAGAAATGTGGAAGATGCAGCCATCAATTTTGGCTTGACAACTAGGAAAATGAATGTTTTTTTATTTTTTGTTTTTTGTTTTTTCAGATGAGCAACAAAGAAGTTTCATTGGGTTTGGAAAAATAAGAATTCTGCTCTTAGTGTAGTGAGTTTTAGAACCCCCTGGAGATATAGAATAAATATTTAAATATGTGGAGGTCAGGAGATAGATTTAATTCAGAGACACCTATCTGGTCATCATTCATGTATTCAATCAATATATATCGAGTACCTACTGTATGTCAGTCAGTGTTCGAGGCACAAAATTACTCTCAGGGAGATTACATTCTAGTGGGGCTTTTAAAAGCAATAGAAGGAAATAAATTCACTCAAGAAGAATATGCATTCTAAGAGAAGGAAACGTGAGACTTAACACTGTGGACTTTAAGAGACTGCTAAATGGCAGAGTCAAATCACTCCAACCAAGCTTACAAAACCCATAATTAATACATATTTTCAATTTTTGCCAATGAGATTCTGTGGTTGAAATAGCAAACTGACATATTAACTAAGATAAAGATGAAATGATTTTAATATATTTAGTAATAAAAAAGTGTGTGTGTGTTTTAATGAGGTATTATAGCAAGAGGGGATTTAAAGATATTGATGCTCTAAAAGATTCTCTAATAGCAGTGTCATTCAATTGATTTTTTCAAATATTAAAGCACTTAAGAAAAACACATGCATGATGCCACATGCATTCTTTTCTTTGATTACATTTTAATTAATTAGATTAACAATATTAAATTTTAAAAACTATATGTGGCATAATTCCTTATACACATTGATATCATAGCTGAACATTAACAAGAACAGATTAAAAGATATAATTAAATTCATTGAGCTTGCATTACAACAATTGAAATCCATTGAGTTTGAATTCCAACTACCTACTGACTCGAGCTTACTATCCCAGCATCTACCAGCTGCAGGCACATATATGCCACAAGGTAGGAGTAGTTGCTTAATGCTATTAGATCATGAAATGAATTATTTTGATTTGTTTGTGTTTGTATTTACATGTTGTTGTGTTGTTATCGTGTGTTTCCGCAGAAAATTTCTGGATGGCTTAAGTTAATGAACTACTATTAAGTTAAGGAACTACTATTGACCCATAGACAATTACTGAACAGCAGAAGTCTAGGGATTCTTGAAATCTATCTGATTTCAAAGACAATATGTGTTGTTAAACCTGTGTTTGAATCCTTAGGTAATGCTTTTTAGTTCATTGACCTTGAAGAGACCCTTAGAATCCTTCTTGCTCAGGCACAGAAACACACACACATAGATTTTTATTACTAAATATATTAAAAATTGTTTAGTCTATCTTACTTAATATGTCAGCTAGCTATTTCAACCACAGAATCTCACTGACATAGAGAAAATATTTATTAATTATGGGTTTTCTAATTCTGCAAATTTCATTTTATTTATTTGAGAAATAGTGATTGGATTATTCAAGAATTTGTTAAAAGGCTAAATGTAGCAGTTACAAAAGGTTAGCTATTAACACATATAATGCCATCATCTGGCCACACATGTTCTCCCAATGTAAAGAAAACAAAATCAAATTTGCTTACCTTGATATTTAAAATACTAAGAAATCTAAAAGGATTTGAAATACTAAGAAATCTAAAAGGTTGAGAACGATGTAATGTTTTGTTTAAATATTAGAATTTTTTTTCTAATTCTACAAGAAAATAAACAGTAGTAGAGAATAAAAAGCCACAAAATCAAGGTCAAATAGGGGAATGAAAAATAGTTATATTGGACAGATATGTAAATAGCTTCATATTTCATGTGGTCTAATTAGAGTGCTTGTGGAAAAATGAGATGTACAAGAAATAATTTTCAAATACTGTTTCTTTATTTAAGTGATGAAAAATTAAGCTGTGTGATTGGCTACTTTAAAAGAAAGGGGGAATCCTGAGAAGCAAAATGTCCATTTTCATTCTGGATTAATGATTCACTATCCAAGTGTGAAATTAGATAAATACATATTCCTTCATGCAGAGCTAACATTTTGAAATGCCCAGGGATTTTTGACAGTGTCACACAGTGTCTGTTTTTCCTTTCTGCTTATTTTCCATAATTTTTAGAGTGGTGTCAAAATGTTTGTCACTAAGATGGAGAAAGAAGGAGAAAAGAGGTTTTATCATTCACAAAAAAAACTTACTAAAAGTTACTTATGAAGACCTCTGCTTCCCTGATACAGCAGACGAAAAGCAAAAATCTGCTTTTGTGCAAAGTAAGATGGACTTCTGTTTTAGTAATTCTTGAAAAAAGATCTATATTAGCCTGTCTTAAGAGAGAGAGCACATCCTTATCCTCTGATTCATCTTCTTCATGTTTTCCAGTATTATTTGTGGAAATTACAGCAACTGAACAAAAAACATGACCTTAGAAACATAGTGAACACCAGGCTCTCTTAGGAGACATTTTAATAAGAACTATATTAGCTTCTGAAAAAAATGTCATAGAAGACAACAGTACAATTAAGTGCCTGGTTTTGTGCATATTTACTATAATTTGTTTTGTCAAGGAATGTTTTACTGACTCCCTTCACAATTTTGATAAGAATAAGGAAGTTCTGCCACATTGAATATATTTTCAGAGCAGAGCAAATGAACAAAGAAAATGTCAAACCAATCTTGCACCAGAAATATGCTTTTGTTGTTGTTGTTATGCAGGAGTTTTATGATGCTGCTGGACATTCCCCTTACCATGAGAGGGAAAAAGATGCAGCAATTCCAGAATACGTAGTACACTTCATCAGGAGGAAAAAAAATCCTTTTGGGGCCACTACTTTATCTTGTGTGTACAGTAGTCTCCTGGTTCATTTTAAGCAGTGACACAAAATTCTATGTGTCTAATCTAAGGAAAGAGGGTGAGTTGTTCATACCCTGGATACAGAATCAAATCCTATGAGATCTGTTGGAATTCAATAATAAACATTTACAGACCTTGCTGATTCAATATTCAATTTGACACATTTGGATAAAGCCAACATCTCCCAGCTGTTTCCCAACAAGGTGGCTAGGGAAGCAAAGTCGCCCTGGAGAAGCCCCAACAAAAGAGCTGACATTTTAGCAATTTTGAAGGGGTACTTTTGATGACCCAGAAAATGCCATTCCAACGAATGCAAGAATAGATGTCGCCAGGTCAGACGGAGTATTCTGGCATCTGGAGACCACATAGGTACGATTGGCCTTCCTTGCTCGGGAGGAATACACCAGGAAGCCTTCCAACATGGTTGAAAAGGCTGGTAGAAAACCTTGGTTTTTATAGCTCACCATTTTAAAAAATGAGAATGCATTGCCATTGAATTTTTGCCTTCTAAGAAGGAATTTTTCTTGAGAGAAAGTTGTCAGCTCATGTGTAGTATTTCAAAGGTCTGAGAAAATACATATTTGTCTTGACCTTAGTTCTCATCAGAACTGGTGTGAATGCCATAATTTTCATTTTTCCTGTGGGAAATAAAGAGGGTGAGGAATAATAAGTAAAGTGACATTAAGTGTTCTTTGAGATGCTAATCCATTATATTCCTGTTTCCATCCCTGTTGCTGGCCCTGTATACCCCTTAAACACAAATAATCACACTTATACATAATAATCATCTTAAGAACTACATAGTTTAGATCTCATATTTCAAGAGCCTTTCTCTCCCTCTGGATCAATTCTGACAAATACACTTGGATAAAAGAGAAGTCAATGGTTTCATTCAAACCAACCAATAAGAAAGATTTATTTACCATCTTCTCTAAAAACAAACCTCCAGACAAAGAAAGTATCAGATGGCAAGCTAGCTCTTCTTCTGAAGGTTCCTCTTTCTTATTTTTCCTTGCTTCACTGGTGGTTGAGTGACAGTGTCAGTTCCCTGTCCAACAAACAGCAAAATAAGATGGTTAACAGCATTTAGTGTTCACGTCCTAGAGCAGAAAGAGTAGTGAGGAGAGAGGCTGACAACAGTATCTTACCCTCAGTAATGAACTACATGCCAAATAGAAATCACTATAACCCTCTGGGTTCCTATGGTAACTTGGTAACTATTATTTCCATTCAATGGAAAGACTTAGCTGGCAGAAGAGTTCAGTTACACAATCAAATGACTGAAGATATTTCATAAAGTTAGTCTAACAGTGGTTAGGTTGGTTTTGAGATGAGTCAAATATTATTGAAGATGTTCCTGCTATCTTCCATTGTTTTATTTCAATACCAATAGCAAATATGTATCATATGCAGAAATTATACATTTTGCCATTTGTCACCCTAAATCATTTACATAGTGTTAACTCAACCTAGTGAGAAAAATTGGGGCATAGAAGATATTACACTATAAAACTGTTCAACTGGAGAAATATCTACCTGGAAATTTTCAGCATTTTTTTTAAAGAACTCGTTTGAAAGAAAAGTTTTATGCCCATTTGATTAAAATACAACATTCATTTGGATATATTGCAGTCAAATCGTGTCATAGATACATATCTGCATATAGTCCACTAGATATCATTTTGAAGTATATATCATGAAGCTTTGTCTGGTCTTTGAACTAGATGACTAGCCAATTGTCCATTCTCCTAATTCTGATATGGGCAGCTGTTAAACTCCACTGACTGATGTTTTATGCTTTATAAATAAATAAATAAAATATATATAAATGATGATTTCTGGATTCTTCCATTTGTGTCAGCCCTCCTGAGATCATTCTGGCTCTTTGGTCATTGGCCAACTTTCCACTATTGGCAGAATGCTGGATATTAAAAAGTATCATATTCATATACAAATCACCTGCACCTTAAAAAAAATAAAAAATTGTTGGTTATCTAGTCTACAAAAAAAAACATAGCCTCCATCTTTTAGGCCACTTTCTAGAAATTATCTCACTTATTTTTTGGATTTTTTCCCAATTCATTCCTCTGTTGATGCTATTAGGACTCAATTTTTTCTCTTATC
Source organism: Homo sapiens (assembly GCF_000001405.40). Classification (NCBI taxonomy): domain Eukaryota; kingdom Metazoa; phylum Chordata; class Mammalia; order Primates; family Hominidae; genus Homo; species Homo sapiens. Next base: position 110,246,262 of record NC_000003.12, on the reverse strand, counting down.
TCTAAAAAGAAGAAATCTTAATTTGGATCAACTTTTCACTTTTCTTTAGCCCCAGATAAGTGTTCTTGTCTATATGTGTAAGTATGTTGGGTGTGAGTTCTGCTGAAGACAAGAGATCAGGCGGTAAGATAAAAATATTTATTTTTCTTTCCTCAGAGTGGGGGATCTTATATGGCTGATATACCCCAGGAAAAGACTTTAATTTTCCACAGATTAAAATCTCACTGGCGAATATTCGCCTAGGTATTATAGAGCAGTGCCTCATGCTTAACAGACATAGTAATTACCTTGGAACTTGTAAGACATTAAGTAGTAAGGTAACAGTACGTGTTCCTTAAATATTTCATAATTTATTCTTTTATATTAAAATTATGCAATCATCCCATTTTTAGAGGGTCCCAAAGAGTATTCTGTGGAATACTAATTTTGTTCTAAAAAAAATTTGGTCATAAAATTTCAGGAAATATTTACGATTTTCTCTTTATTCAGCCTGCATAATATTTTAGAAGATAAATTGAGTTTTTTTTTTTTTTTTTTTTTTTTTTTTTTTGAGACGGAGTTTTGCTCTTGTTGCCCAGGCTGGAGTGCAATGGCGCGATCTCAGCTCACTGCAACCTCCGCCTCCCGGGTTCAAGGGATTCTCCTGCCTCAGCCTCCCAAGTAGCTGGGATTACAGGCTCCTGCCACCATGCCTAGCTAATTTTTTTGTATTTTTTTTTTAAGACAAGGTTTCGCCATGTTGGCCTGGCTGGTCTCCAACTCCTGACCTAAGGCGATCCATCCGCCTCAGCCTCCCAAAGTGCTGGGATTACAGGCGTAAGCCACCGCGGAAATATTTTCAAAAAATCGGCTATTTTACATAAAATTGTTGGCTTTCAAGTTCCTCTTGAAAAATCGGATCATCAGGCAACACTGACTCCACTTTCCTCCACGATAGTAATGCCATTTAGGTAGGGAAGTCACTTTTCATTTTGCCACAGAACCTACTAATCCATCCTGCCACAATTCTGTTCTACTTCACTCATTTATATTGCTGCCTTCTCCCTGTAAGCTCTTGATTTTGTTATTCATGGAGAAACCTTGTGTGCCTAGCTATGTCCAATTTTCTCCTTTCTAGAAGGATGCCAGTTATATTAGATTAGGGGTCACTGTACTCCAGCATGGTCTCATTTTAACTCTGTAATGACACCATTTGCAAATAAAGTCACATTATGAGATACTTTACAATGGCCATTGTTATTCTTTCTGCCTGGTGACCATTTGTTCCCATTTGAGGGCTACATTCAATCTGGAAACTGCAGCTATCTATCAATATATTAACTATAGTGGTTACTTGTTCAATAACACTTAATAATCAACCTACGTCATATATGAGTGCATAACACTCACTCACAAAAATAATTTTGAGGTATCCCAACTAGCGTCCTCCAATGTCAAGTATGGTGTGTCAATTCTGAACAAGCCAAGCAATTGCTCTTCAGCAAGTGAGAAAAACCTGCAGGTATGGAGATGACTTACAGTGTGCCTTATAAGTCAAAGCAGAATTGTTTTTCCTTAGGACAAAGCAAAAGACAAAATGGATGATTAAAGTAAATACAAACCAGGGATTGGTGGAAGAAAGAGGGATGAATAGGCAGAGCACAGAGGATTTTTAGGGCAGTGAAATTATTTTGTATGATGCTATAATGGTAGAAACATGTCATTATACGTTTGTCAAACCCATAGAATGTACAAAATCAACCGTGAACCCTAATGTCAACAATGCACTTTGAGTGATAATGATGTGTTAATGTAGCTTTATTGATTGTAAGGAATGCGCAGCTCTGTAATGGTGGGGAGGTTTGTATGTGTAGGGGCAGGAAGTATATGAGGACCCTCTGCACTTACTGCTTAGTTTGGCTGTGAACCTAAAACAGCTCTAAACAATTAAATATTTTCAAAATAAAAATAAATAAATGCATCCATACAAAGATCAAAATCAGACATATAAGTGTTGTAAGCATAAGAACACAGTCATTCAGAATCTGACTTGGAAAAAAGAACCATCAGACCAGTGCATCCTTATGTTGTTTCATCTGAAGCAACATAAACAACCTTACCTTTGACATTGCAAGGAAATAAATATGTCCAGAGTAGTAGCCTGTAGGTATGGAGATGACTACAAATAATAAAAGAAAAATGCAATAAACAAGAAGTGAGGGGACCTGTGTTCCAGTCCTGCCCTAGACATGAACTGCCATCATCTCCACAGTGCTTGTCTCTTAATCTTTCTGAATCTGTTTCCTTGTCTAAAAATAAAGTACAGAAAACAATCTTTAAGATCTTTTACAAAGATTCAAATTTAAAAGCTATGAATGAAAGTACACAGGCTTAAATGATTACTAGTGCCATTATCAGTTGAAGATTCTGGACGGATTAGACAAGGGATGGTAATGGAGGTGCAAGGAGGGTAACAAGAGAAAATATGGTAGGCAGCATCTTCCACAGCTGCAGAGGAAAGAGAGTTTATGCCAAAAAGGGCAGGGTTTAAACTCTCACACTACAACCTACAATTTAGGTGACCTCTGAGTCAGTTATTTAAGGTGTCTGATCTTTAGTTTCCTCATCTATGAAATGTAGATAGCAAAACCTACCTCAATGAGTTACTATTAGGGCATATGATTGAATTTATAAAATAAATTCTAAATAATAATAATATAGTAGATAATATGAATTGAATGCCTTCTATGTGACAGCTGCTGTTTTAATTTCTTTTAATTGTAAAATTTCTCATTATGCATAGGAATCGAATAAAATAGCAACTATTATTGGCCCATTAAACAAATGAGGAAATTGAAGGACAGATAGGTCATGTAACTTGCCCAAAGCCACAGGCTAGTAAGTGGAAGAATCAAGGCCAGGCTGTTGTGATTACAGTCTGTTTTTAACCAGGCTGACATAATCCTCTTTCCCTGAGTTCTCTTACATCGTCTTCTGTCCTATACGCTTTGGTATGAATGTTGGTGTACTGCCAAAACTCATATGTTGCAACCTAATACCCAATGTAATAATACTAAGAGTCTGGACCTTTAGAAGGTGATTATGTTATGAGTGCTTTGCCCCCATGAATAGGATTAGTGCCCTTACAAAAAAGGCTTGAGGGAGCCGATTTGCTCCTTCTGCCATGTGAGGGCACAGCAATAAGGCATCATCTTTGAAGCAGAGAGATAGCTGTCAGCAGACACTGAATCTGCTGGTGCCTCGATCTTGAAGGTTCCAGCCTCTAGAACTGGGAGCAATAAATTCCTGTTGTTTATAGACTACTCAGTTTAAGGTATTTTGTTGTATCAGTAGGAATGGACTAAGATGCTATCCTTCCCGAAACACCAGTTTAGGAAATTTACAGAACTCGTATATTCCAAGTACATAACCCTTTTACTATTGTGACTAATTCTATCATACAGAATCCACTTTACATACTGTCCATCTTGTGAAAAATATTGCAATATATACAATATTATTTATAAATTATTACTTCAGTAGCATGAAATGTTTGTAAAATTCCTGAAAAAGTGTGTTATAACAAATATTTGGTCTTTGTCCCTGCTGCCTGGCACAGAGCACCTAAAACCTTTGACATTTCCTGAATGAATATCTTTTGTTATTCCTAAGAAGTCCCTTTTGATCATATCTGAGTTTATGAAAATGCTGTAATTTTGGGTGGAGCCTCTGTATAGTCTCAGGATGAGAAATTAGATGATGTTAGAGGCAGCTGGATATTAAGCTTTTTATAAATCCTTGAACAATGAGTTTTGAAGAGCTTCCAGGTTGGTGAATATATCAAGGTATTGAGAGGGTGGCAAGCCTGGAGAGGTCATGGAAGCTTCGCCCTTCAAGCAATATTAATCAACCATGCTATTATTAAATGGAAACCAGTAACTTTTCCTGAGCCCACACAATGTAGAACAGAAAATGGAGTGCTGGTAAGGACAGTTTCGTTTTGTTTTATTTTCTGTGCTATAGCCCCATATGGAGACTGGAGCTTATGGTGAAAACCTGTGATCTTTTTTCAATGACAAAATACTGGTAATTTAGACTAAAACACTTCCCTTTGAAGGCCATTTACCAGTGTGTTATTGGATATTCACTGAATCTACCTCTATGACTGAAGGAGATAAAACGATCTTGAAATCTGAACATGATTTTTTTGGATGATATTGAAGAAATTTCTATAATAAAATGGAAATAGTTCATACAAAATTATGTTACTAGGAGAACACAAGCAAGTACTCACCTCTTTTCCTCTAGGATCGACTTTGGAACTGCAGGAGGAGCTGCCAGACTTCTCCGTCACTTAGACAGTACCTTATAAACAGCACTAGACTGACCAACAATGAGCTGCACAGTTTGTAAATGGAAGTTCCAAGGTGAACAAACAACATCTTGTTTGGAAGTTTACCCACTCTGACCAAAAATAGTAAAAACAAGTCAGATTGGCAGGCTCAATTTCATGCTGGAAGTGATGGAAGAATTGAAGAGCTGTAAAAACCTTTATGTTTGGGTTTTTACTGACCCATCAGAGGTAGCCAATAGCCTGGACATCTGGTCAGTCAGAAGGGCAATGGAACACTGGCCTATTGCAGGAATGCCCATATGTGGGGCATAGCCCTGTGGAATTCACTATGGGCATTTGAGGGATGCATTTAAGTAGGTCAGATAAATGTCTACTGGAAAATCTCCTTTCCAGTTTTAGAAGAGGATTGGAACCATCAAGTGGATATTTTGTTGTACTTCCTTGAGTCCATGACATGGGTGGACCTTAGATGGTTGCAGTAATGCAAAGATAGGCTAAATCTAGACATATTATTCTTGCACCCTCCAAAATGTCAAAGACCAATAAGAACTATTTTGTTTGCCAACAAAAGAGACAAATACTGCAGGCAGATTCCCCAGAGGAAGACTCTGAACACAACTAGTAAGTCAGACTGATTCTAGTATGTCTAAAGGGCTACAAATGGGTCTTGATAGGAATAGACACTGACTTCAGTATGGTCTTTGCTTATCTGGTGATAGACACAAATATTTAGAGTGCTATACAAAACTAGAACCGAAGATATCACACCAAGTTGCAAGGCTGATCATTATTTCTTCGGACCAAGGAATATACTATACAGCTTATAATGTCCAACAATTGGCAGAGAGATATATTCCTCAAGGTAATAGATTGATAGAGAAATGAAATGGGCAATCAAAACTTTGGTTTTCTAAAATTGGGGGACATAAAGGCATGAAGGGCTAGCTTATACACCTTCGTGAGGGTGTGTTCACACTCAGCAAGAGTGGGGCTAAGAAAGTGTCCCCAGTAGATATATTATTCTGTTTTTCTGGTGCATCTGGGAAAGAGAGGGAGGGGAAGCATGCTGGCATGATTACACTTTTTTTTAAGGTAAGAGTTTGCTGATATGATAACTATACATATATTTTAAAAATTTGTTTTGCACATCGCTTCAACTTTTCTTTTTCTACCTGATTCAGTGGTCACAAGACCAGGCCTGCAACTACAAGTGCAGGAAACAGGGATGACTCCTAAGCAAGAAACTATCTATATTATTAAGCCTTTATATCAGAATTCCAAAGGGCCACAGGAGGTGAATTTTGCCTTCATCCCATCTGGCAAAATTGAGTTAAGTGTTAATAAATAAAAATAAAATCCTAAGTACCCCAACTGATGTAACAGACCCCTTCTTGGCCAAGGAGACCACAGAGAAACCTTAAAAATTGAGTTTCCAGCCATGAAGGGATGGGAGGTTGGACACACCTTGTTATACCCCCTCCCTTACTAACTGCCATTAAACTTTCTTTCCAAGAGTTAAGCAGAAACCAACCCTTTCAAAAGACTTGCTCTACCACTGAATTCAACCAACTGCCTGATGCTGCTGTTGGACTCTCCTCCCCTTGTTCAGGTTTTGACACAATAACTGACCAGCATTCCTTCCTGATACGTGACCACTGACTGGTTCTGGCTGGTTCACAGAGGCATGAATGGCTAGTTCTGTGTCCTTTATTTCACCTTTTGATATATAGAGCTCAATTTTACTGCATTTAAATGTTAAGTCATCACTCCAAAGTGAATATGAGATGTACGTAACATGCATGTTTGCTTACTACATATGTACTCACTCCTACTTCACAGATATTTATAGCTCCTCCTATAATCTGTTGAATATGTATTCTGAACCATTGCATTCAGCATAAATTCCTGTCTCATCCTTCCTCCTTCAAAGTATATGCTTTTGGTTTCTACCAGAGACTATACTTCCCAGCCTCCAGGATCACCAGCCTGAAGCCTGCAACCCTTTATAAAAAAATAAAGCTCTCTTTTACAGATCTACAGATCTTGTGATCTTTATGCCAACATATTAAATGTAGCTATACTGCCTAGTAATCAAAGTGATCCACTAGTTCTGTGTCTATTTAACCCTACTCTGGATGGATAGTAATGAACTCAGGGAAAGGCACTTGCTAGACTAGTATTGCTGCCTGCAATCTAGACCAGTATAGTGATTGTACCTAATGTTTTTTCCAAAGTTGGAAAAGTTTGGTTATAAATGGAGAAAAGGAGAAATAATAGTTGAAAGTAAAGTAATGAATAAATGTATTAAGTAATGAGAGAAATCCAATATTAACTCAACATCTTGGAAGAGGCCCAGAATGAAAGATATTTTCTCTTAGCTCAACTCTACCAGATGCATGAAAAGATGAGGCAGTGTATTGCTGAGACCACTTCCTGCTTTGGGAACCCAAACGAGATTAAATAGAAGCTTGCAAACCTGAATGGTCTTGCCTGGGAGCCATTTTTATATGATATAATAATGAACCGCACTAATTACTAATGACCAAATGAGACTCTAATAATGTAACAATATCTTTTAATTGCTATGAGCCTTTTGTTGTAAAAGATCCATCGTCAAAAACCAGGAGTGGTATATGGCATAATAAGAAATGTATTTGCTCTTTGTCTCTGCCTCCTGGTGCAGAACTTCTAAAACCGTTGAAATTTCCCGAGTGTTGGAAGTGTGTTTTGTTATTCATATAGAACCCCTTCTGATCACATCTGAGTTTATGCTAATGAAGTAACATAGGTGGAGGCCTAGCTTCAGGATGGGGCTGGACACCAGAAAGACTAAGTGACTAAGTAGAGTATTGGAAATTTCAGCCTCACCCACCAATCTCCAGGAAGGGAAAGGAAGGTAGTGGCTGGAGATTAAGCTCCATAAAAACTTCTTGAACAAGATTTGATGAGCTTCTGGGTTGGTGAACACATCAATGTGTTGGAAGGTGGCACATCCAGAAGGGGCATCGAAGCGACACATCCTTTTTTTCCTACCCCATACCTTGCCTTATGCATCTATTCCATTTGGCTGTTCCTAAATTGTGTCCTGTATAATAAACCAGTAAACATAAGCAGAAGTTTTCTGGGTTTTGTGAGCCATTCTAGCAAATTTTTTAACCTTAGGAGGGGATTGTGGGAACCACAGATGTATAGCTGGTCAGTCAGAAGTACCAGTGACAACCTGAGACTTGGAACTGATGTCTGAAGTGAGGACAGTCTTACAGGACTGAGCCCTTAATCTGTGGGTTCTGTATTTTCTCCAGGTAGTTAGTGTCTGAATTGAAGTGAATTATTGGACACCAACTTGGTGTGCAGAGAATTGGAGAATTGTTTGTTGGTGTTGGAAAACACCCCAGAAAAAGTAATGTAAACTTACCAGGTAATAGCATTTTGGAGTTGTAAAGAACTCTAGTAATCAGCTAAATCCAATTATTACTTAATGTAGATGAGGTAACCAAGGTAGAAATTGTAAAATGGCATGTCCAGGTTCATATACTTAATAGAAAGGGGTAATTTTTCCCCAGACATTCATCCTGTTATTCTTAAAATTTTTAACACAATCATCACTTGCAAAGATTGACATATTCTCAAATTGTATTATGTGTAACAAAGAAATCAATAAATGAGTCCAGAACATACACTTTTAACATATTTGAAAAGAAGAGTTTCAATGATCCTCTGACTGGTAAAATAACCCATTCTTTCCAAATCTGCCATATTTTAATGATGATGAATTCAATGGCAATATTCATTTTGTAGCTTAGAAAACAGAGAGCTAGTGCTGTGAATATTTTATGTTTCAATTCATATTTTTGCCTTTTTTTTATTTCACTGTGATTTTTATTAACTGATTCTCTCTTAGAGTTGTTTGAATGTGAATGTTCACTGAATACTTAAATTCAGGACAGTCACTGGTTGTATTCGTGTTGTCTTGTTTATTTTTAAGTCACAATTCTAGTACTGCATGTTTTTATTTAATCAATAATCTGTCTCTTTCATAAGTGCTTTAAACATAAAATCATAAACATATATGTTTTCCAGGTTGACCTGAATAGTTACAAACATAACTTAATGTGTACAATTGCAACTTTCTTTCCTTCCACTATATTTACCTAAGAGGCTGAACAGCTGTCTCTCAAGCAAACAATGTAGTCTTTACCATCCTGACACAAGAGTATTATATCTTTAAAGGGAACTCTAATAGGTACTAAATGTCAAAAATGCACTTGAAAACTCTTAAAAATTCAACTTGAACTAAAATAACCAAGAAAACCTAATATTAAGACTTATGTCTCAAAGAAAAATAATTGACAACTCTACTCTACCCAGCCTATCTGCCAGAAAATTTTACTTGGAATTCCTAAGATATCTTCACCTTAAGTATTCCCTTAAGCTTATTTAAGTGAGTCCCTTTGTAGTTAAAAACCTATTTTCCTCTCCCTTACAATTAGAATAATATGTGATTGCATGGCAATGGCTACTGTGGCCATCCAGACATTCCTTTGTGCTGGTATTGCTTACATTTCAGTTTTAAAACATGTGCTTTTCTCCAGTATGCTTTACTTTCAATAATTCCAATTGCATTATTTTCTGGTATGAAAAACCAGAATACATTATTGGCAGCCTTGCATTCTAAAGGGATGCAATTGATTCTTAGGATAAAAGAGCCTCTAGCCAACATACTTTAGCATAAGCAGGTATTATGCGCCACATTCCTTAGGACAGATGAAACCCATAGAAACACAAATTTAGATGTATATCTCAATGCTGCAGTGATGGTTTCCCGTAAGTATGCATAGAAAATAAGATGCAAATAAATACACCATTTAGGGCTGCCACTACTGAGGCAGCTGTGGGAAGACAGCCACGTTTTTTCTTAATTAAAATTTTTTACTTTGCTTCAGTTAGTCAATTTAACACTCTTCAAGAGGCATAATGTATATAGTGAGCTAGTATTTAAACAGTGAGAGCAGCTTAACATTCAGATCCTGCAGACTGTCTGACAGTCTTTTTGGAAGAATCTCTAAAGACTAGGTGGTATCTTTAATTGTGAACAAATAAACATTAGTCTGGATCCTGTGAACAATTCAACAGATGAAATGCGGCAGAAGTTTTCTCTGCAGGTGGGTTAACAGCTAATGTCAAATACTTCTCCATCTTCACATCTTAGAAAAAGCCTTATAGCAGATAGGTAGAATAATTTTTTTCTGTCATGAATCTCCAAGACCTGAAAACATCTGTTTATCATAAAAAATGTGATGCATGCCAAAGGCTAGGAACCTCTCACTCTCTAAGAGACAAAGCTTTTGATCCTTTGAAACAACACTATTTCATTTTATAAGATGTATTTAAACTATCTCCTATCTTATTTCTCTGAAGCTGAAATCATTGGAAAAATTAGCCCTCTAAATTTAATTGCCTATAATTTTGCTATCAAAATGGCCCATCAAAGTGCTCTACAGAGGAGTGATTGAAAATGAGAGACAAGTGTCTAGTTATCTGCAAAACTAATTTGAGCACTAAATTAGAATCACTCTGTTTTGCTTTGCCTGTATCTCCTTCATTTGCATCTTGTGTACATACCACCTACAAAATGCATATCTTTCTTTCTCACATCTCTCTATCTTTTTAACATTATGCTAAATGATGATACCAGAATGTGTCTCTCGGGCTGAACTTGCAATCAGATTGATTTTAAAGAATTGAATCCCAAATGTAGGAAATGAACAAATTTTAGAGATGTTGTTGATTTAAAGATCTATAAATGTGTAGTTGAATGGAGAAGGCAAAGTACATGTGAGACCAAAATGGTAACCTTTAATTAATATATGGTTATTTGAAGACATCTTTGTGACTTTTCAGAGTCCCAATAAAGTGCATGACTAATTCTGTAATTTCTCCTATCTCAACCATAATTAGCTTCACATCATCTTCCTGTATTACCACTTGCTCAACTTTTATCTTCTTGTGTTTTGGTTTTTTTTTTTTTTTTTGAGATGGAGTCTCGCTCTGTCACCCAGGCTGGAGTGCAGTGGTGCAATCTCAGCTCAATGCAACCTCCACCTCTTGGGTTCAAGCAATTCTCCTGCCTCTACCTCCCGAGTAGCTGCAATTACAGGCATGCACTAACACACCCAGCTAATTTCTGCATTTTTAGTAGAGACAGGTTTCCTCATGTTGGCCAGGCTGGTCTTGACCTCCTGACCTCAGGTGATCTGCCCACCCGGTCCTCCCAAAGTGCTGGGATTACAGGCATGAGCCACTGTGCCCGGCCAATTTTCACTTTGTTTCAAAAAGCATTGCTCTTCTTGTTTCAAAAGGTATTGTTCTTCCTCTTTCAATAGGTGTAACTTCAAATAATGATGTTAGCATAAGACTGTAACAGGTGGGATAGGAAATATTTGGCTATAGTATGTTGTCCTGTGATTCATGAGCCTCTTCCACTCAAGAAATTAACGTCAGCATTGACCCAAGTTGGACTAGGACTGCCTCACCATTTGTTGTATGCTCTTTCTGATGTTGTGTTTTTACTAAAATAAATGATGAGGCATAAAATAGAGATGAATACATGTAGTAATTTTCCAAGTAGAAAAATTTAGGGAGGTTATGGTTTTATGAAGTTCCTGGGCTTAGATGATCTATAAGCAGTTCAAAAAGCTAGGCAACTTTAATTTAATTCAAATATTCTAATTCAATTTTAGTCTTTGCATTACAGAGATGTGTGTTTTTCTGAATCCTTAAGAGAATGAAAACCGATGGAATAATGATGTACTACTATTGCGATGTTACTAAAATCAAACAAGATTTGCTGCTCCCTTTTCTATTTCCTCACATTTAGCATTCACAGAATGTGAAAGTAATATAGATATTACAAAATATCCGATGATTCACAGGAACTTCCTAGAATTTTCCTTGCTACACAGCTGTAGAACACATGAAAGAGAAAATTTTAAAAACGTGAAGAACATTTTCTGTATATATGTGTGTGTATATATAGGTGTGGTTTTAGATGTATAATTATATATGTGTGTGTATATATTTTTTCAGTAAAAAATAAATAAAACAATAGAAATTAAAGTACACAGGAAGATGGGATGCCATTTTCATCAGAAAATTGTGGCTCCACAAATCACCCATGCCATCTTATGTGCATCCTTCTGCCTGTGCTGCTTGTCTCTGCCTGGACCAAATGCACTTGTCACCATTTGGGTTCTCCAAGAAGCAGATTCTGAGATGCAATTAGCATGCAGGATTCTGTTTATTCCCAGCTTTATTGGGGTATAATTGGCAAATAAAAATTATACATATTGAAGTATATGATGTAGTGTTTTGATACACATATGTAGTAAAATGATTATCACAATACTGCGGTCAAACTAATGAGCATATCCATCACCTCACATGTTACTTTTCTTTTTTTGGTGGGGGGTGGTAAGAATACTTACGATCTGTCCTCTCAGCAAATTTCAAGCACACAATACATTGTTACTAACTATTGTCACCATGCTGCATGTTGGATCTTCAGAGTGTATTCATCTCATAACTAAAATTTTGTACCCTTTGGTCAACCTTTCCCCCTTCCCTCCACCCACCCCCCACCAAAACCTACACTCCCAAACCCTGGTAACCACCCTTCTAATCTCTGTTTCTATTAGTTTGACTTTTTTAGATTCCACGTAAGATTCTTGTTAGAGAGTGCTCTGGGGCTTAAAACCTATGGAAGGGGGGAAATGTAAGCAGGATTGGACAGAGAGAGAAATTGGTTAGTGATTCAGTCTCAACAAAGCTGTCAGCCAACCCTACAGAAAGTTCTTCAGCTGGACCAGATCTTCAGAGTTGTCCCAGTTAAGGGTGAGAGATCTGAACATTTATACCCTGATATTGATCAGTCACTGGGGATGGGTTATCCCAGAAAGAGGCATGCGCTTAGCTGAAGTTGTTTGTTTTGTTTATTATTTTTAACTGGGGGCCATCCCAAACAGGGCTGTCAGCTGAGGACCGTCTTTCTGAACTCCCTGCAGTTGGGGGAGCAAATCTTACCTTACTCAAGGGGAGAGGGAGTGATTCGTGGCATTCACCAAGCACTTCTTCCTGTTTTGTACAATGTAAATTTCTATAAGTATCCTAGGACTCATGTAAACTATTACCATATCTATGAAGACTCCTCTGATTTCTCATGTGGGATTGGCTATCTCTTTTTCTATGCAACTACTGAATCATGTACAAACATATATCATAAACTTCTAAAAATTGTATTACCATTTTTTCGAATATTGGTGTTTCCTACTTACACTCTAAGCTGTTTGAAGACAAGGCACTATGTCTTATCCATCTTTGTTATCACCTAGCATAGGGCCATGTACATACAAGTGTTCAATAAAAAGAAAGATAAATGGACAAATTGCAACAAAGAATTATGAATATGTTAGTCCTTACTGAAAAGTAACTAAAATACAATATCAAGAAAATCCCACAGAATAAAGGGGGAAAGTTTGCCCTTTGAAAATAGCATACATTGAAGAGAATGAGCAGGCCATGCTGTGTAGTGGCTAAGTGTCCCATAGAGTATGGTAATGATACATTTGGTTAAACTGAGCAAAGAGTCAATCAATGCCTAGTATATGCCAGGTAGTGTAGTAAAAAATGTGAAAGAATAAATAATTTTAAAAGTAGCATAACAGTGTCTATCTTCTAATAAGAGAAATAAAGCAAGGGACAAATTAAAACAAAAGAGGATAGGTTTTACACAACTCTCATAAAAAATAAATACAAATTTTTTCGTGAGAAGGAGTTCAAGGAATGAGATAATATAACCAATTAGAAAAATTAGAACAGACCTGATGAAGGTTATAGCATTAGAACTTGGTCTTGATTTAGGCTGGGCACTGTGGCTCACGCCTGTAATCCTAGCACATTGGGAGGCTGAGGTGGGTGGATCACGAGGTCTGGAGATCAAAACCATCCTGGCTAACATGGTGAAACCCTGCCTCTACTAAAAAAATACAAAAAAAAAAAAATAGTTGGGTGTGGTGATGTGCACCTATAGTTCCAGCTACTTGGGAGGCTGAGGCAGGAGAATCGCTCCAACCCGGGAGGCGGAGGTTGCAGTGAGTGAAAATCGTGCCACTGCACTCCAGCCTGGGTGACAGAGTGAGACTCCATCTCAAAAAAAAAAAAAAAAGAACTTGGCCTTGATTTTTTATAAGTGAATGTGATCAGTTTGAGCATGTGTGCTAGTTCAGGTTCTCTGAGAAGTGCCAAGATGGAATTAAACATGAAAAAGATTTGTAGGACAAAATATATGTGAGGAATATTGGGAAATGTAGCAGGAATAGGCAGGGAGAGCCCTTAGGAATTAATGCAGGCAGGTAGAAGAATTAAGAAGAGTCTCAGATTATAGTAAAGGCCTGAGAAAATGTTAGCAGGCTGATGGGGAAGGCTCAGAGCAAAGACTGCACATCCCAAGACCGCCACAATCAGTCATCGACTGGGAGCAACCCAGGAAAGATGTGGCCTTGGTATGAACATTGTGCTGGATCACAAAGAGGAGGCAGCTGGAGGCTGTCAGCACCCCTCCCTGCAAGCTCTCTCTCGAAGTAAGATCTGAGTAGTGCATGCCCATGGATGTCACAGGCGAAGAAAGGAAACACTTCAGGAGAAGAAATATGTGGCTTAAGTCATGGGACATGCAGCCGATATCTTTGGTTGATAAATATCACCATGGCCTGTGAGCCACCAGTGGCCTCTACACTAAGCAGTAGTAGCAAGCAATATTCTAAGTGTCATTGCTATTTTATTTATTTTCTTATTTTTGTTTTGTCAATTTGTTTATATTTTCTTCTTTCTTCTTCTTGCACCAAGAACACGGCCATGTGCTCAACAGCCATCATGGCCTTCTAGTGATGGTTGAAAAAAAATATAAAGGCCAAGGTTAGCTTTTCCTCACAAGTGGTACTCAATCACACTGCGTTATCATTTTCTTATCCATCTAACTCATCATGCTGGGCCTTTCTCACAAAGAATGTGAACCTTTCAGTCAGTTTTATTACATACTCTTTTCTAACAGAAAATATTTTCAGTGCCAAAAATATTCCAAAATTATTCACATATGGGTATGTTGGTACCTTGCTGCTTCTCAGCTCTAGTATTTCACAACCTTCTACAGAAAATCAGCTTTTGACAGGTGGTTTATGTGTTCAATTCTAAAGAGGTGCTTTCCCTGAAAGAAAACACGAAGCACATGGCAGGACATCCTAAATACTCTTTGTAAAAATGTTTTGGCGATAATGTATTTGTATAATTTAAAAGTATCCCTGGTGACTGTGGCAACCTGACCAAGGGCAGGCGCTGGGCCTCAATTTGTTATTTCTTTCAGCTTCCTCTGAAGATGTGCTTCATGTTCTTAAAGCTGTGAAAATTTTCTCTAAAAGTGCTGTGATGACCAATTGTATTAATGGAATGAGAGACTTTGCTCCAATAACAGCATCCTGCATGTCAAATACTAACTTCTTTGCTCACCTTCTTGATTATCTGTCAGCAGTGGAACATACTTTAGGAGGGCAGATGCACTTGCCTTAACATTCCTAATGAATCAGAGAATTCTGTACTGCACATCTCTAAAGCAAAATCAGCAGGAGACCTGAACAAAGCCAGTGATTTCTAACACTGTATCCTATGGTACCAGGTGATGGCCCAGAGCATACAAAAGGGGAAAACAGATGGATGGGTCAGAAATTCCCTCAGAAGAAAAATGAGTGCTGGAGTAGGGAGTGCTATGTGGTGGCACATAATTTGTAACCACCAGGTTTAAGATCTGGGTCCTCACTGAGCATTTCAATATGTTTCCTGATACGGAGGTCAGGCAGAAAACGACTTAGGGTGAACTGGAGATGGTGGAGTAGGAAGAGTTGTCTGAAAGGCTAAAGGGAAGGTTGCTTGCATCAAACATTCTTCTCACGCTAGCATCTTAGAAATAAACAACTTATATGATAACAAGAATATGGGGTAGGGATAGGAAGTGAAAGAAGGAGATGGCACTTAAGCAGTCTGTATCTTGTATACCTTTAATTTATATCAAGACTTTTCGTCGCTATGTGTTTTGTTTTTAATTTTGTTTTTAGCTATGCTTATCTGCCATTTTTTTTCATCAGAAAGGGGAATTCCAGAACCATGTACTGAAATTATACTTAATACTGGAAAAAAGACAATATTTAACTGTCCCGTATATACTATATAGTATCAGAGATTGAGAATCCTGTTCTTTTCCAGGAACAATTTTCACTGTCTAAGAAAAAACAGATCTCCCTTCTACTGGGACTTGAACTAGAGACTTTGAAATCTCAAGGCACTTGCTTTTTTACAGGACCTCAAAACACTTTACTTGGGATAAATGAATCTCTGATGAATGTAATTTATATTAGAAATAGCACAGATGTGTCCTGAATTTGCAGGAGAGGGATGAATCAACATTCATTGTCTATCATAAACTCCGCATTAGTTAGGCCCTCACACTGAAGAGAGAGACCTTTGTTCGCTGAGGAGAAAAGTCCTGCTAACTATCAGATTTGGTCCGAGGTAAACTATCATTATCCCGACTTTCTAAAGAGAATTCACAATCCGGTTTTCATGCTGCTTTACCCTGCCTTGTCCTCACCCATAAAAATAATTTTGACAGAACAAAGAACTAAAACTAAATAGATTAAAGTTTTAGTCGTCTTTTCTCATTTTATATTTCCTCTTAAGTTTTGTATGTGTTATTCCATATTTTGCCTTTCTGTTCAAACATCTTTTCTGAGTGGACTTTGCCATTTGGAGTGTCTTTATGTGGACTCTAGAAAATAAAGTCCTATATCAGAAAAGATTCAAATGTGAAATATTTTTGAATACGTAGTTCATCTCTTATTAATCACACACTTACTGTTCCATAAATGTACTGACTTAATTATTCACCGCCACCACCTTCACTGCCATTACCACTACCTCTCAAAATTTCTCTGTGATCATTTCCCCCTTTATGTAATTTTTAACTTGTTCACACTTCTGAACTCTTAAGACTTTTGTACCAAACCGACAAACACTTATTTTTCATTGAAAAGCAAATATATAGCCCTGTCCTTTGCAATTCTCTGTTTCTAACTTTATATATACTTTATAGAAAAATAGCTCTAGAATTAAAGAATATTAACGTATGCTTTACAGTAAAATGTTTTCATCTCTAACCATGATATATAAGAATTAGATATTATGAAAGGGATACATTTCTTCTGAAGTAGAGGTCCTGTTTAATATTCAACTAGAAAGGCATTTGAGGAAATGGCGATGGACTCAGTCAGCACCATAACAAAGGGACCAAATGCCAGAAGATCCAGAGGAAGAAGGGATCAGCTCCAGCTGGGGACATCAAGGAAAGCTCCTGAAGGAGCCGTATTTTGGTTTGGTCATTGAAGCATGGGTAGTGTTCAAGTGTAGGGCAGTAGATAGAACTTGGTCAACTTCAAGCTGCTAGATGCTGCCCAGGGAATGGTACTTGGAGATAAATGAGCACAAGAGCAAACAAGGATGCATAGAGGAAAGTTAACCAACATTTCCATTCAGAAAGGCAAAAACTAATAAATGAGAGCTGGTTGCTGTAATCTACAAGTGTGTTTTGGGGATTGCAGGCAGTTTATGTCTTAATTTCGACCTAAAATGGAATTAAGTTGCATGGTCTAAGAAACTCATCATTTCATTCTTTCTTTCAGGACTTTTTCTCCTTTTTCCTTTTATAAGATGTTTTAGAATTTCATTAATTTCTGAACATGAATAAATATTTTTATTTAAAGCCATTTATTTATTCATTTATTTCTTGACATTAAGTATTGAGTACCTAATGTGTTTTTTATACATCTCAGTAGAGATATGCCTAGAGAAATACTTGATGAAAATGTTTAGGTAACTTAAATAATTATACTTCAGACTATTCTTTATAAAATAAAATAATGGTCTTATACTTCTTGTATAAGAAAACACATAATTTTGTTTTCACTGAAAAATTTCTGTTGATAAAATTGAAATATAATGTTTGGTATTCGATAAATCTATTTCATGTTTCCCAATTCTCTAGAGACATTCTTCATATTGTCATTTTATTAATCAAGATTTTATAAAATTCTATACCTGATCATTCCAATATCTGGATGAGCTGTAAGTCTATCTGTTTCTATTATTTAACGTTTTGGTTTTCTAACTTTCCTGTTACATTTTACTTGAATGCTGAGAATACTCTATCAGAATTTACAGAAATGCTGGTCAATGTATGTTCTTCCAGAAAAGATGTACTCCCTTTTTTTTTTAATGACCAAAAGTTAAAATAGGGAAAACTAGAGTAATTTTCATCTGGAATTGAGCAAATTTTGAAACTTGAGAAATTTTCTATTTCCTGTTTATCTAACTTCTATCATAGATCTATAACTGAAAGTTTGATATATTTTTTCACAGTGCTTCTCTCAGGATCTTAAAACGCACCCATTTCCTGGGGGCTGCCCAGCATTGTGAAGACTGTCAAAAGCTTGGCTTGGCTTCTTAGCAACTCTGCTGCTTTGTTTGGCTCTTCTCTTACTCCACAGACAAATCTTCAAATGTCTTGAAAGGAAAGGCACTATACGATGTCAATGTGTTTCCTGTTTCTCCTGAACTTTGGCCCCTCAAATCTGGCTGTCTGGGAAGATAGAATACCAAATTTTGCCTCTCCAGTAACATGACTGCTAAAAACTTGGCTTCGTTTTCCAGTATCTTAGTTATTGCTTTCTGCTTAGCTGTTTTGACTTTCTGGTCTTGCGTTATTATTTATGAAGAAACGTTTTGAGGCAAAACAGCACCACAATGTGCTTCCCTACTTGCAGTACTTTGCTTGGGCTGCCTTAAGAAAGTACCATACACTTGCTAGCTGAATAGAAGTTAGTTATCTTACAGTTCTGGGGTTTAGTAGTCTAAGATCAAGGTGTGGAGGATTGATTTCTTCTGAGAGTTGTGAGGCAATGATGCAGGGCAAGCAAGCCCCAAAATTGGGACTTAGTTTGCAAGGGTTCTTGGGTGTGTTCCGGAAAGAATTCAAGGGTGAGCCAGTGGTGTTAGATGGCAACCTTTACTGAAGCAGCAGTGTTCAGCAGCAGCAGAGGTACTGCCCCATGTGTACTAGGGATCCTCCACAGGCAGTGTGCCCAGAGTAGCAGCTCGGGGCCAGTTCTGCGGTCATATTTATACCCACTTTTAATTACATGCAAATTAAGGGGCAAGTTTTTCAGAATTTTTCAAAAAAATGGTGGTACTTTTGGGTCATTGCCATGGAATGGGGTAGTACCTTCTGGGTGTTGCCATGGCAATGGTAAACTGACATGACACTGACGGGCATGTCTTATGGAGAGGTGTTTTGCCTCTTCCCTGCTAGTCTTCAATATTGAGCGGAGTCGAGTCCCTGCCTCCTACCACAGGAAGAGTATGTTTCAGGCCTCTCTTGTAACTTCTGGTTATTCTGGCAATCTGGTATTCCTTGGCTTATAAAAGCATCACTCTAATATCTGTCTTCATTTTCACATGACATTCTCCCTGTGTGTCTGTTTCTAAATTTCCCTTCTTTTAAGGTCAATGGTTATATCAGAATAGGTACCCTCCTTATTCTCAAAGGAATACATCTTAATTTAATTACATTTGCAATGACTATTTTCATGTAAGTTCATATTGGGAGGTACTGAGGGTTCGGACTTGAACACATGAATTGAGGGGACATGGTTCAACCTCTAAACTACCCTCAGAACTCTATAATTCTCAAGGCCTATCTCGTTGGGTAGCTTTCTACAGTCTTCAGACAGATGTTTTGCATTTTTTCCAACTTTTCTAATTGCTGTTGACAGTATGATTGGTCTGATACCAGCTAGTCAATAATGATCAGAAATAGAGTCTCAGGTTTGACCTGAAATTGTTAATTAGTCATAAAAGTATCATGTCCTCAAGATTCTCTGCAATAATAATTTAATAATAATTTAATAATAATAATTTGACTAACTAGAATTTCTCTGCAATAATAATTTAATAATTTAATAATAATAATAATTTGACTAACCAAGGGTAGGAACAGAATTGAGAAATGTCCGTCTTACTGCCTCATTAGTTTGCATTTTACTTAATCTTTCCACCAATTTTGAATTTGACTTATCTAAGTTAGTTTGAAGGCCATAGATGAGAGTTTTACACAAAAATCACAGAGAAAGGAAGATGGCTAAAATGGCATTCAAGAGGGTCTATATCTGTGCAGCTGTAGAAAAAAGACACATTTACCAGTTATTAGTGAAGGCTAAATGTTAAGACTATAGAGTAAGTGACAGTTTTAAAGTTTTCCAAAATTCACCTAGGAACCCGTATGGCTAAAGATTTTGAAGTAGTTTACAATTTTTATCATGACAGAAATAGCAGTAAGCAATGCCAGTTGAAGTACATACAACAAAAACAACAAAGAATTTCCACCATCCAGTCAAAAGTTTCATTTTACATTCGAAAACAGAATTACTACGAATGTCATAGAGAAGTGATAGTAGCATGGGATCTACCTATTCCCTTATTTTTCATGTTTTATTTGGTTATATCAGTTCAGAGCTTTTTGATTTGTTGTGTTCAAGGGAAGTCATTAGAATATCACCATATTTTATTTCCTTGTAACACATTTTTTATCTCTTGTGAAAATTGATCCATATGTTTTTCAAGAAGGTAGCCCAACTCTTGTAATATCAATGCTTGATATATGTTACCTCCTTTCCCATTTTTTATATAGTATATGTTTGCTTTTTTGAAGACTCCATATTCACTTGATTTATTGCTGCTTCATATTGAACAAAATGGTATATTGAGGGGCTTAAGTGGTCTTTTTTTTTAATAACAGATGCTGACTTCAAAATCTAACTACAGTGGTCTTGCTGAGTAAAATCATGGGTAATTTTCTTTTCACACTATGGTTCAACATATAGGAATAATGCGTATTCCACAGACTTATTATAAACATTAAAGGAGATAAGTAAATTTTCTTAGAATGCCTCCTACGTATTAAATGACCAGACAATGAGAGTTGTTATTATTAATGAACAGAAATAGCTCGAACCCACATTTCCTACTGCACTGAAGAGTGAATTCTCTATTTGAGACACATATGCTTTCTAAATCTCCAAATGCACACACATCCAAAATCAGATTATATATACATATATGCCTTTAAATATATATACATATGCACATGTATATGCACCCATACATAAATGTATCTGTGAATTTACCTGTATATGTGTGTGCGTATATATGTGTACGTATTTTTAAAATTTTATTAAATTTAATTGTATTGAGAAAAAAATCACAGAACATTTACCTTGCCAAAAAGTTAAGGATTTTAATGTTGTCTAAAATTATAAAAAAGAAAACCAGAATTGTTAAAGCTTTAAGGATTGTTAACCGCCACAGGAGGAATGTGAATGAAAGCAGGGTAAGAAATGTAATACTGAGAGAATATTTTATAATAAAGTCTTCTCTGACTTTATTGTGATTCATTTTTTATTAAAGCATAGATTTTTAAATGTTTTATTATTGCTAATATTTGGTATGCCATCAGTGATGCATTCTTTAAAGGTTATTCTTGTTTTATTCAGCATTATTTTTAGAGATTAGCTGAATCCTGAAATATTTTATTTCTATCTTCCTTTATTCTGAAAAAAAGGAATTGGAGGCAAGAATCCTTTGATATAATAACATAGAATGGACGGAGTATTGATTAATAAATCTCCCAGGAACGTATTCTAAAATGAAAGTCTTTTAATACACAGAAGAATGCATTTAAATGAGGGCAATGAATGAGAACCACAAATAATTCTTGTGTATGACAATTATTTTATAAAGATATTACTGAGGAACAATATTGAACACAGTTATATACTCATTCATCACTGGTACATTTTACATTCTTATAAGTCTATGCTTTAAAATACTGGTTCTAAATATCTTTGATATGGTATTCTAACTTATTTAGAGAAGAAAAATAGGCATAATGACGCGTGTTCATCAGCTAAATATATTTTCATTGACCAGTGATCAAGCCAAGTTCGCCTTTCCAGCTCCCACCCTGGAAACTTCTTGACACATGTTATTTACATGACTGTTTCACTCTTGCCCAGTAATAATAATACTAATAGTAATAAGAATAGTAGTGATAACTATTCTAAGGAAGAGTTTATAAGGATTTAATATAGACAGATGCTCCTGGATTCCTTTAACTGTAGATATTTTAAAACATATAGACGTTATATGCCTTTATCAAAACATCACCCGTACTCCAAAATGATATACCATTATTATGTATCCATAATAATTTTTAAAAACTAACAAAAAATAAAATACCATGTTTATTTATTTATTAAATCACACTTGAGTTTTAGAATGTAAAAACAAACACACAAAAAAAACAAACTAAAAACACCTAGACCACCCGCTTGTATTTATCTTCAAAGTGTTCTCTTGCTGGTATCTGTGACATTCACTATTTCTTCTCCTTCTTTTAGCAGTGAGCATGAGCAAGGTTTTCAACTGTGGCACAAAAACAGACCACTTCAGTTTTCTCTTTCATCCTCTCTTAGCACTTGCCCTACTTGAACATTATTTCACTAAACAAACTTCATTATTGAAGTTTGTGCTTGCTATCTTATACAATAAATAACTAAAAGGAGATAATATAAGTAAATTTAAATTTAACACAGTTAAATTTATATCATTAACATACATCATTAAAAAGTTCAATCAGGCCAGGCATGGTGGCTCACACCTGTAATCCCAACACTTTGGGAGGCCAAGGTTGGAGGATCACTTGGGCCCAGGGGTTCCAGAACAGCCTGGGCAACATAGGAAGACAACATTTCTACAAAAAATACAAAAATTAGCCTGGTGTGGTGGGGAATGCCTGTAGTACCAGCTACTTGAGAGGCTGCGGTGGGAGGATTACTTGAGCCCAGGAGGTTGAGATTTCAGTGAGTTGTGATTGCACTACTGCACTCCAGCCTAGGCAACATAGTGAGACCCTGTCTCAAAAAGAAAAGAAAAACCAATTATTGTGATAGGAGTACTGCTATGTAATTAATCATAAAGAGAAATAGACAGGGAATTATGTCTTTGGCCAAAAGTCATGTCCTTATCTAGCCATAGGAAGAAAAGGAAAAACTAGATGTTGATCATACTTGGAGATATCACTTACAATTATCTGTATTGTGTTATAACCTTTGTACAAAAACATTTACCCTTTTTGAAAATTAATCATACATCTCATTAGTATGATAGGATAGCCGGCCTTATGAGGTAAAGTCTTCTAGAGATAAAGTTTGACATTAGAATGCGTGACTGTTAATTTTAGATATCAACTTGATTGGCTCACAGCATGCACTGATATTTGGCTATCATTATTTCTGGGTGTGTCTGTGAGGGTGTTTCCAGCGGAAATTAGCATTTGAGATCTGTGCACTCAGTAAAGCATATTGCCCTCCCCAATGTGGGTGAGCATCATCCAATCTGTTGAGGGCCTGAATAGAACAAAAGGCAAAAGAAATGAGACTTTTCCCTTTTTTCTATCTGCCTGACTGTTGAACTGAAACACTGGACTTTTCCTGCCCTTGGACTGAAATTTGCACCATCAGTTCCCTTTGTTCTCAAGCCTTTGTACTGGGACTAAACTGCACAATTTTCTTTCTGGGGTCTCCAGTTTAAGATGGCAGATTGTGGGACTTGTCAGTGTCCATAATTCTGTAAGCCAGTTCCTCACAATAAATCTATCTCATTCTCACTCTCACTTTTCTTTATTGGTTCTGGAGAACCCTGACAAATGCCCAAACTATCTAAGATATTGTTGACTGGTGAATAAATGTACAGCTCCTTGACAAGATCTGTCAGACTATAACGTAGAGAAATTTGTATAAAATTTAATGCCTATAGCAACATCAAAAACAGATATTATTGTTAAATAATGTCTGTTAAATAATTGATATTTGTTAAATAATTGATAACTAGCCCCATTATTGGTCCTAAGACTAGCTTTTATGCTGGAAGTGCTGAAAGACAATGAATAGGTTCAGCTCAGGGCCAATGGTTTCAATATAAAGAAAAAAGAAGGAAGCAACAAATTTGTTCTACAATTGAAACACAGTCAATATGTTATTAGTGGATCCAGATAGAAT
The DNA here is from genome assembly GCF_000001405.40 of Homo sapiens. NCBI lineage: Eukaryota > Metazoa > Chordata > Mammalia > Primates > Hominidae > Homo > Homo sapiens. The sequence continues at coordinate 110,222,661 of NC_000003.12, read as the reverse complement.
CTATCACTCCTGACCAGTGAAAACAGCTAATTGAAAACAAAGGTCTTTTATGCCATATCAGTTTTGGTTTTTTTCCTCTGGACTTCCTATTCTAGAAAACACATATTATCTCTTATGCACTCCTCCTCTTCCCAAATCCTCTCAATTCAGTTGTTTGAAGCAATAATCAATGTATGTGTTATTATAACCTATAGCCAAGTAATGTCTGTGATTACTTTCTATTTTCCTGTGTGACTTTCTATTTTCTTTGAATTAATAATTGCCTAATATTTTTATTTGCAATTTTTGAGTCATATAATTTTCTGCATGAACCAACTATTTGGAATATATTTATTCCTTTTGTTTCATACAGAACTCTGCCCTAGAGCATTTTTTCTTCATAATCTAATCAGGATCTTCATTCTCTAGACATCTATTATAGTAAGACTCTTCTTCTGTTTTCTGTTACATTTTTTATACTTTATCATAAATTCAATTTCTCCCTCTTTCTTAGTCTACATATTTGCTATGGCAGAGGCCATTCTCTATTAGCTTTCTGAAAAGATATGCAAGAGATAGGAAAGTTTTCAGTCTTTTCTTCCCTGAACAATTATTTATTATACTCTCCTATGTGTTTGTAGTTTCACCATTTATTAAATTCTACTTAGAAATTCAAGTTATTGTATTACAGTCCTCTAGTATCTCAAATTGCTATTGAGAAGTCAAATTTCACTGTTTCCTGTTTTTTAAAATGTACTTTTTCTCCACTGATACTTTTACTAGTCTTCCATTTACCCTGCATACCCTAAAATTTTACCACAATACCTATTGGAAATGTTTATTCATTGTGCTCTCATTAAGACATTTCACATGGAAAAATAAACTTTACATTTATTATAATTTTTCTCATAATATCTTTGGTAATTTTTCTCCCGAAAAGCTTCTTTTTTTTTTCTGGAATACTTACTTTTCAGATATTGGACCCACTGGACTGATGCACAGTTTTCTAATCTTGTCTTTGTTCATCTTTTTATTTCCTGTGAAATTTCTTTAATGATATCTCCCAAGAATTTTATTGAATTTTATGTTTTAGCTATCATATTTTTAATTTCCAAAGGCTTTCCTTGTTCTCTGTTTCTTTATTCTAACATCATGCTCTTCTTTCAAGGCTAAAATATATTCTTTTGTCTTACAGAGAATATGAGTTGGGTTTTCCATGTAGAGGTTTTTTTTTTTTAATTTCTCTATATTGTCTGTTTTCTCGAAGTTTCCATTATATGCTTCCTAGTTTTGATCTCTAGTCTCCTGCTATAAGCTTTCCATAAATGTCTGTTGATTCCTGGCTATATATTCATATTTAGGAGTAAATAACGGAAAAGTTGACTGGAAGGTCTTTTTGGATAGGCACAGCTTATCAACCGCTCAGATCATTGAGGGTGATTGGTCTAGCAGTGAAATATGTTTTGTACTTGGGGGACTTCAAACTTTATCATGTCTCACTTTGAGACACTTTGGTTTCTCCACAAATAAGAGTTCTCTTCTCTCCTGCCTGCATGGCTGTAAGCTTGGTTTCTGACTTTTTGTATGATGGGAAAGGGGTGAAGAAAAAATGGGTCACACTAGTTAATATGCTGATCTTCTCTGAAATTCCCTACTTAAAACCAAGTGTTTCTAACTGTTCATCCCTTTTCTTGCTATCTCCATGTTTGGATATATTTTGGTTCAGTTGCTGTCTTTTGTGAGTTACCAGTCAGAAGTCATAGAGTGGAATTAAAGAACTGGGGAATGTAACTGTTTCTTATACAGATTTCCAACAAGTATAGCTTCTCTCATATGGGATGTCTCCAACTTCCAAGCTTTTCTACAGTATGATTACAAATGATTTATTTCTTGTTACTATCACCCTCATTATACACCTATACTTTTAAAAAATGTCTTCTGCTAAATAATATACCATTCTTTCTACTTTCCCCTTCATATATTTTTATTTATGGTTACAGATACGATCTAGTTTTACTAATTCTGTCATATATTTTTATTTATGGTTACAGATACGATCTAGTTTTACTAATTCTGGAGTTTGAGGCTTTGTTTCTTACTCTTCGTGCGTGTGTGTGTGTGTGTGTGTGTGTGTGTGTGTGATTGATTGATTGATGGAAGAAGACGGAAGAAACTTCTTTAGTTTGCCAACTTTAAACAGTAATTTATAAATAGGCTTCTAATTACCCTCTTACCTAAGCATCAAAATCCCCATATGTGGCAATAAAGAACACAAGTGCTGTAGATATGAAGAGCCAAAAGAGGACATAATCAGTAGTAATTTTTCTCTTAGACTTCAACACTGCCTTGAGTTTTCATTCTTTCTCTTTTCTTTCCCCCATATATTTCCTTAAACATAATAACCAAGAAATTTTGCTATGACCATAATTTTTAGAGCTTCAAGTAAGAAGCAGTATATTGGGGTTATGTGTAGTTCATATTAGAATAAGATAATTTGGCCCTCAAAGAAAAGATGCAAAAGCATAGATTCGGCTTGCATCCCTGCCAGGGTTTAATCAAATAAAGTAGTATATTTTAATCAAAATGTCTCCATTTAAGTTGCTTGTTTGTGCTTGTCAAATGTGCCTTTTTCCAAAATGCATTCAGATAATCTACCCCTTTGACATATGCTGTATAACATAGCAGTCAAGAGCCTGAGTTCTTTAGCCAGATTCCTAGTTTTGAATTTTTGCATGTCTGTTTAACAATGGAACCAAGTACTCATCTTCCTTACGCTGCAAGTTCTTCATGTGTAAAATGGGAATGTTACTGAAAACTACCCCATAGAGATGTTATAAAAATTCAGTTAGTTTAAACACACAAAAAGCTTAGGACACTATGCATTCAATTGTAAGGATTTATTTGTATACTAGAACCACAATTGTTCTCTGAATTAGGGATTTTATCCATAAAATATACAATTTGTAATAGTTGGAGACTTTGTCCCCCTAGATTTATCTGAGTAACATATTGCTATGATCTGAATGTTTGTGTCCCCCAAAATTAATATGTTGAAACCCTAACCCCAAATGCGATAATATTAAGAGATAGAGCATTTAGGACGTGATTAGACCATGAAGATGGAGCCCTTGTTAATGTGATTAGTGCCCTATTGAAAGCGGCCCAAGGGAGCTTTTCTTTGTCCATTATACTACATGAAAATGCAGTGAGAATTCTCTGTCTACAAGGAAAAGGCCCTTACTAGACATCTAATCTGCTAGTTCCCTCAATCTTGGACTTCCCAGCCTCCAGACCTATGGGAAATAAATGTTTGTTACGTATAAACTGCAGTTGATGTTATTTCTGTTATAGCAGCCCAAAATTACTAAAACACTTAAAACTTCATAAAAATATCTTAAAATTTAAGATGAATGGTGGCATAATATTGCCACCAATGACACAGCTACAAGTGGAATTATTAATTAATAATTTTAGTGAAGCAGGAACATAGAAAACAGTGGGCTACACAAATAATGTAAATGTGCCTTAAATTATGGGACAGAAGAGAGAAGGAAGGGAAATAAGCGGGCCTAGGATGTGGATCAATCAATGTCTGCCATCAATTTTAAAGATTGTTGAAAGATTTAGAAAGGAGTTCACCATCATAGTAGAGGAGGTGATGCTAATACATTCTTGAAGATGTAAGTGCTGTCTGCATGGGAAGAAATGGTAAATAGTACACTGTCTTTGAAAAAACATAATTTAACTTTTTTTCACCCTCTGAATTACAGAGATTCATGGCAAAGTCTCAGTCCTACACAATTATTTGCTGTTTCATCCATATGTATTTTCCAAATTTTCGTATTTTATCGATGCCAATCAATCCACTCATTAGTCAAATCAGTGTTGATTGTCAAAACCTAAGTCAGATGATGATTTGCTTAAATTTTTTAACTGTTAAATTGACAAATAGAAAAGTTGTCAAATTCTAAATGTTTCACAGTAGTACACAGGATTTTGGATCCTATTATTTTTCTAACCGGAAGCATTTTGTGGTTAATATTATTTGTTTGAAAGTAAAATTATGTTCCAGGTCCAGATTACCAATAAAACTCACATGAGGTAGTAATGGTTTCCTTTGTTAAAATTTGTAACACATGTAAATATCTGTCAATCAAAACAATTTTACCTCATGGTATTTTCCTAATGAAAATGGATTTCTAGACTGATGGCATATTCAACATTTGTTTCTGGAACAAAATGCTGTGTCTCCAAGTGAAAGATTTCTAAAGGAAATTATATTTTAACTTGACGTTTAAAATATATATATATAATCTAACGAATATTTCTTCTGTTAGAAGTCTCATATTAATTTACCTATCTGATAGTTGCAAAATCTCATTTATATGTGGAATTTTTTTTAAAAAGGTTAAATATACCTAGATAGAGAATAAAACAGTGGTTGCCAGGAGAGGGGCAGTGGGGAAATGAGAAGATGTAGGTCTCTGTGTTAGTCTGTTCTCGCATTGCTATAAAAAAATACCTGAGACTGGGCAATAAATATATACCTATAAAACATAATCTTAAAAAATTAGCATACATACTGAAGGACAGTCTCAATGGTAAATGCTTTTTGTTGATAGTTTAGAAAGTGTGACTTCCTTAACCAATCATATGCTGGTGAATATTTAACAACTGGTTCTCTGGAGAAGCAGAAGCCATGAGTTGTAATGTAACTATTTCAAACATGGGTGATTTCAATCTACTAATGAGATGTTCATCAATTCACAACATTTCTAAAAATTTTAATAGTTGACTGATTCTATCTTACCGTTGTATCCATTCTCTAGACTAAAAATACAGTGTATGTTTATGAGTTCCTGTTCAAATTTCTATTAGAACACAATTGAAGGTACAATTTTTTTTTTTTTTTTTTTTTTGAGACAGAATCTTGCTCTGTCACCAGGCTGGAGTGCAGTGGCACAATCTCGGCTCGCTGCAACCTCTGTCTCCCAGGTTCGAGCTATTCTCCTGCCTCAGCCTCCCGAGTAGCTGGAACTACAGGTGTGTGCCACCACGCCCAGATAATGTTTGTATTTTTAGTAGAGACAAGGTTTTACCATGTTGGCCAGGATGGCCTCGATCTCTTGACCTCGTGATCCACCCGCCTCAGCCTCCCAAAGTGCTGTGATTACAGGCGTGAGCCACCATGCCCCGCCTGAAGGTACAAAATTTTAACATATAACAAAAGTGTATTTTGACAAGGTCTGTTACATTTCTCCTCAAGAAATTACGTTTTTACTTCTATCGTGATCTATTAGAGATGGGCAATGTATGCTTTACTACATATTTCACAGTTCATTACCTATCCCTTGTACCAAGTCATTACACCAAATGGTATAATTTTGTGAGTAGTTCATTTGTCATGAGCATGCTTCATTTTGGTACTTATTAATTATAAGTAAGACTGTGTATGTGTATGTGTGAAATGCACTGTAGGTAAATCTGCTACTCACAGGTGATTACAATGAAGAGTGAGGTTAAACATGAGTTATGCTTCCATCTATCTTTGCTGTTACAAAATGCCTCAAGGTAATACCCATGAAATCAAACTGAATTTCAAAGCAATTCACAAACACTCTGAAATTTGGACCCAACACCAAAGTTACACACAGCATATTTAAATCCATATTTCATTAAATAAATATTGACTGGCTAACTGATTACAATATGATATGCTTCTGTCAAGGATGAGTTAAAATATTTAATTTCATATAAGCCACAAAATTACTATTTTTAAATTTTAAATAATGTTTTCTTTACAATAATGTCTCTCTTGTTTAAACCAAAATGTATTCTTTTTTTCCTTCTTACTGTTTCTTTTTCTTATTCTACTTCATGTGACATCTGTTAAAAAAATTTGCTAGTTGCTTTCGTATATATTTAATCCTAAAAATTCTTCAAGGTTATCTCTCAAATGTATTTCACATCACCTTATGTATTTTTCCTTCTGCAAATAAATCTTCTCTTTATATCAGTAATTTTCTAAAATCTTTACTCCACACACAAAGTTACTGAAGCCCAAAATTCCTTTGTAATAGTTATAAAATGAGCAATCACTGGATCTTTGTCATTTCCTACCCATCTTTTAACACATCTCTTAATATTTTGTGTGGAAATTAATCACTCTTTATTTTGAACATGTATGATGGTCTACACAACCTTCCATATCAAACTGTTACAACTTTATCAGAGGGTGACAGCCTTATTATGATAGTTAATGCCAATTTACTAAAAAACTCTACTTGGAGCTTTACATTATCTCAATCAATTTTTATCACAATTTGACAAAGTGGGTATTGTTATGCAAAATTTACAGATAAAGTTATTGAGACTCAGAGATGACTACAGAAATGATATAGTTAACAAGAGAGAAAACCAGAATTAAACCAAGTTTGGTCTGAATCATAGTCTATTTTCTTTCTACAATATCATGTCTTTTTTATTACTAAATCAAGAATGACAGTAAAATAACCATGCTGCTTTTCTATAAGGAGTATTTCTTTATAAGAAAATTAAAGCCATCAGAAAAAAAATTATTCCCCTCTCTACAAAACAAATCCTTAGATGTTAAGCAGCCGTAATTATAAAGTAAATATAAGGTTTTGATCTGCCAATAATTGTCCTAAGTAAAATTTTTGACAGGTTGGATTTTTGGTTAAGCAAGCTAAAGGCCTACTGTTTAAGTTGAAAATGACAAGTAAGTGATAGGTCTTTGGAAGAAACTAAGAATAAAAAGAAACAGCATAATTTCACCGAGGTTTAAATACTAAAAAGAAAATATGAGTAGAAGAGGTTTTGAGTAAGTACTGCTCATTCAAGAAAAAAAGAAACACAAAGAATTGCCTCAGACTGGAGACATGGAGATAAGAGTGGAACAGCTAAATAAAGGTGCAAATTGAAATGAAATATGGGTAATATTGAAATAAATGAGAAAGAAAACTTTTGCTTTTACAATGACAGAAATACCAAAGGAAAGTAACCTCAGTTAAGAACAGAAACAAAAGTAAATGGAGATTAGAACAAAGTAAATCTTGATAGAAAGGGTCTGGATGTATCCTGCACGTTCACAGAATTGCTTAGAGAGAAGATGCTAAGTGACCCAGAAATCAACAGGGAAAATACAAGTGGCCCCTACATTCAAGATTAAAGGAGAGAACTGACAAGCCAGGTGTAATTCACAGTTTCTCATTTAAGACAAAGCTTTTTAAGGAAAGGTGCTGCTTGGTTTCCAGTGTCTTTCTTGGATATGCCTATTATGTAGGAAAAACGTATTCCTCCTTACAGGTAACTTTTAACACTCAAAAATTCCAGATAATAAACTACTCTTTCATCCTAACTAAGCATTTGGTCAACTCTGGACAAAGAACTCCGAGAGAATTAAAAGACACAAAGTACTCACCCAAAGAAAGAAGAAAACCTTTGATGCGTAGCTGAAGCAGAAACTCACCAATTTACTTGAGCCTTTTCTTCTATTTTTACCTTCTTAAAGTACGAAAACACTATAGTTCACTATAATTTTATTATGGACTTATTATATTTAGGTTAAAAATATATTTTTTTAAGTAGTGGCTTTCATTCTGGGAAATATTTGTTTATAATCTGGGGAAATTTTACTTATTTACCCTATACATGTCCTTCGTGATGTCTTGATCTTCAGCTACGTCCTCTCTGAGATCTTGTGTTTCTCTAAAGGATTCCTAAATTTTAATGATTATCCTTATATGGAAACACCTCTACAATGAAGCTTGACTTCACTGTATTTTACTAAATTGTTAAAAGTTGTCTTATAGTTAATTTTTATGGGTATGTAGTAGGTCTATATATTTATGGGATATATGATATGTATTGATACAGGCATGAAATGTGTAATAATTATATTTGAGTAAGTGGGGTTTCTGTCACCTCAAGCATCTTTAATTTTTTGTGTTATGAACATTCCAATTGCACTCTTTTAGTTTTTCTAAAATGTGCAACACGTTATTGCACATTTGACTATAGTCATTCTGCCATGCTATCAAATACTATATCTCATTTATAGTATGTAACTATATTTTTATATTTTTGTACCTATTAATCATCTGCATTTCCCTTCTACCACTACCCTTCCCAGCCTCTGGTAACCATCATTCTATGATCTATCTCCATGAAATTAATTGTTTTAATTTTTAGTTCCCACAAATGAATGAGAACATGTAAAGTTTATCTTTCTGTGCCTGGCTTATTTCACCTAACATAATGCCTTCCAGTTCCATCCATGTTGTTGCAAATGACAGGATCTCATTATTTTTTATGGCTGATTAGTACTCCATTGTGTATATATACCACAATTTTTTTAATCTACTCATCTGTTGATGGACTTCTAGGTTGATTTCAAATTTTGGCTATTGTGAATAGTGCTGCAACAAACATGGAAGTGCAGATATCTCTTTGATATACTGATTTCCTTTCTTTGGGGTATATACTTAGCAGTGGGATTGCTGGATCATATGGTTGTTCTATTGTCAGTTTTTTAAGGAACATCCATATTGTTCTCCATAATGGCTCTACTAATTTACATGCTTGCCAACAGTGTATGAGATATCCACTTTCTCCACATCCTTTGCCAGCATGTGTTGTTTCCTATCTTTTGGGAAAAGCCATTTTAACTGGGGTGAGATGACATCTTGGAGTTTTGATTTGCATTTCTCTGATGATTAATGATGGTGAGCATCTTTTCAAATATCTGTTTGCCATTTGTATGTCTCTTTTTGAGAAATGTTTATTCAGACCTTTTGCCCATTTTAAATTGGATTTTTAGATTTTTTTTGTAGAGTTGTTTGAGCTCGTTATATTTTCTGATTATTAATCCCTTGTCAGATGGGTAGTTTGCAAATGTCTTCTTCCATTATATGAGTTATCTCTTCATGTTGTTGATTATTTCTTTTGCTGTGCAGAAGGTTTTTAACTTGATGTGATCCTATTTGCCCATGTTTGCTTTGGTTGTCTGTGCTTGTGGGGTATTACTAGAAAAATATTTGCCAAGACCAAGACCCTGAAGCATTTACCTAATGTTTTCTTTTAGTAGTTTTATAGTTAGAGGTCTTAGATTTAAGCCTTTAATACATTTTGATTTGATTTTTTTATATGGCAAGAGATAAGGTTCTAATTTCATTCTTCTGCATATAAATATCATTTCTCCAGCACTACTGAAGAGACTGTTCTTTTCCCAATGTACGTTCTTGGCACCTTTGTTGAAAGTGAACTCACTGTAGATGTATGAATTTATTTCTGGGGTTTTTATTCTCTTTCATTGGTCTATGTGTCTATTTTTGTGCCACTACCATGCTGGGGCTCTAATGGTTTCATATAAATTTTAGGATTGTTTCTTCTATTCCTGTGAAGAATGTCATTCGTACTTTTATAAGAATTGCACTGAACCTCCAGATTGCTATAGGTAGTATGAACGTATTAACAATTTTGATTCCTCCAATTCATGGACATAGAATATCTTTCCACTTTTTATGTCCTCTTCAATTTCTTACATCAATGTTTTATAGCTCTCATTGTAGAGATTTTTTACTTCTTTGGTTAATTCCTAGGTTTTTTTATTTTATTTGTAGCTATTGTAAGTGAGATTACTTTCTTATTTTTCAGATTGCTTGCTTTTGGCATATAGAAATGTTACTGAGTTTTTGTATGTTGATTTTGTATTCTGCAACTTTGCTGAATTTGCTTATCAGTTATAAGAGTTTTCTTGTGGACTCTTTAGATTTTTCCAAATATAAGATTATATCATCTGCAAACAAGGATGATTTGACTTCTACTTTAACAATTTGAATGTCTTTTATTTCTTTCTCTCATCATTACTCTAGCTGAGACTTCCTGTACTATATAGAATAACGGTGGTAATAGTGGCCATCCTTGCTGTGTTCCAGATCTTAAAAGAAGGGCTTTCAGTTTTCCCTGTCCAGTATGATACTAGCTGTGGATCTGTTGTATATGGTTTTTATTGTGTTGAGGTATGTTCTTTCTATACCCAGTTTTTTAAGGGTTATTCCCATGAAAGGATGTTGAATTTTATCAAATATTTTTTCAGCATCAATTGAAATGATCATATGGTTTTTGTCCTTCATTCTGTTGATACAATGTATCACATTGATTGGTGTATGTTGAACCATCTTTGCATCCCTGGGATAATTCCTACTTGCTCATGATAATGATCTTTTTAATGTATTGTTGAATTCAGCTTGCTAGTATTTTGTTGAGGATTTTTGCATCAATGTCCATCAGAGATATTGACCTGTAGTTTTCTTTTTTTTTTTTTTTTTTTTGAGTCTCTTTGTCTAGTTTTGGTATTAGGGTAATACTAAGTTTCAATGAGAAATCACAATCACTTTGCTCTCTCTCAAGTACGCAGTTTCTCTGTCCACATCACACTGTCCTGTTGAGGGACAGGGAAGGGGCGGTATAGGCAATTCCAGCTGTCTTTCCTACCCTCTCCAGTGCCCCTTTCCTTTATCTTATGTTAAAACCAAAAATTGTGTTCACTCACCTAATTTTCATTTTTTATGAAGACATTTTCTTGCATGGATAGTTGTTCTATTTGGTATTCCTGCCTGGGGGTCAAGGATGATCTCTGAAGGGTTCTATTCAGCAGTCTTATTCCACCTCCTTCAAATTTTAAAGGCTCAGTAAGTTTATCTCCATTAATTTGACCCTTTAGTGATGGAAAGGTTTTTATACCATCTACAAATGTGAAGATTGTATAAGCTGTTCTCTCATCCTTTCATTAATCACTCTACTATGTATTGAATTATAACTGCCTCAAAAGTGATTAGTTAGGGATCACACTGAACATTTCACTTTGCATAAGTATAACCCTTTCAGAATTATAAACTTTTTTTATTATTTTTGAAAAACAAATTGAGCACATGAAGCTTAGCCACCATCTCCTGCAAAAGGAGGAAACAGCCAAGTTACTGGTTCATTCATTGGTTTCTTCCCATTGCCTCTTATATCTTCAATAGTTCAAATTATTACAATGCATTCATATCAATATCATGGTGACACCATTGTTTAAATGGCATCAGTTATAAAATGTTAGCCAAGATATTCTGGAACTTTGAATACATTATTCCATACATATTTACTCCCTCAAATGACTAATGGTTTGGTCCATCATGATTGTGTCCGATAGAAACCACACTTTTTTTCTTCTAATGTACTCTTCAGTGATATTTTCTTTTATTACATATTCTCACAGATTGGCTTACATGAAAGACAGGCTCTAGCTCTCATGATTTATTCTGGAACCACCTTGGCCAGGGGATACCTTTTGGCAGTTCACCAGCCATTTATCTGTCTAATTGTAGTAGTGGAAATTTATTTCCTTCTAGATTTTTTAGTGATCTTGCCCACCTTTTACATATAAATCATAATTTAGTTATAAAATTTAAAATTCATAAATATTTTAGCTTTTATCTATGAACTGTCTGCTTCAAAAGAAAGTGTCTTTAAAACTCCATTAATGTCTTAAACATTAATGACTAAAGATTTTTCTACTGCTAATTTTCATTGGCAAGAACTGTGATTATTACCTTGTATTACTACTTCCACCATAATCTAAGCCTGCAACTCTTACCTTGGAAGTTACGATATCAATGGACCACCTATTTTCACCCTTGTTGTTAATAGTACATTTTCTTCACAATGGTTACAGTAATAATTTTATTCAAATTCCCATTATTTAAGATGTGAATAAATTTGAAAATATTTTAACAACTTTAACATTTATTTAGTATAATGTTAAAATTACTTACCTGGACAAAAATTAAGTCTTACATGATCTGATCACTGTCTTCTTTTCTAACCTCGTTTTTACTTTTTCCTCATTTATGATACTAGAGCCACAATAGTCTCTTTCTGTTCTCTGAATAGATTAAATTCCAAATTTCCACTTAAAGAAACTAAAAACTTAGATTGTCCGGGCCCAAATTTGCAGAGATAAAAAGCAAAATTTTTGTCATTTGAGCACTAGAGACAGTAGTGAGGTAAGTCACTCACATTTCTACTTCTTCAACCCCAAACCTTTGAAATACAGCAATGGGAATAACACCACCAATTACAACCATGTAACATCATCTGGAGGATATTAGCCTAGTCCTGTGATGCATTACCATAAAATTATTGCCATAATTGATTCTTCATAAGGGCATTCCTCGTTTATATCAAGACAGCTGATTTAAAAGATAGGAAACACAATATGTCCAGGGCATTTCATAAACATGGGTCAGTTGAAGAATTTCATTTGCTGTCTTACAATATTATATGGAATTACATGCCTGTAAGTCCACAGATGGTGGTTTTTGGAAAAAGGATTATTGGCAAGAGAGGGAAATTCATGCATATCTTGTATAAATGCCTGTTGAAGTGCGAGCACAGTGCTATTCTTTCCAGAATGAATTTTGTCCAATGTAATCACACTTATACTAGGTAGCAAGCTGATCCCTCCAAGAAAATTTTTCTATATTCAGGTGACAGTGTTGGTCTCTGTGATTGGCAGATTAGATACGAAGCAGTGGCTATTAGTAGATCATCTGTGGTGTGTAGAAGTCCATATTATTTAGCCCGAGTTTAACCTCCAACCCTACTGACATGAACGCTTTGCTAATTAGACCACTGCACGGGTTAAGACTTGGAAAAGAAGCTGATTGACATCTATGGAACTGGTCAACTTGTCTACCAGATTATTAAGATCCTCCTCTGTTAAAGTCACTCTTGGTTGAGTCATTCTTGGACATTGGGAAAACCTGCTCAGGCAACTTACTTGTGCGAATCTAAAGCCACTTCTGAGTTTGCAACTAGCACCCTTTTATTTTGATTCCTTCCTGTGGTATGCAGAATTCTGAGATGATCCCCAAGTTTCCTGCAGCATTATGTACATACCTTCTATAATAACCTCCCCTTGAGTGTGAGTGGTACTTATGAATATGATGAAATATTCACATTATTATGTTATGTAAAAGAGATTATGTAATGTAATTGAGGTCCCTAATCAATTGACTTTGCTAAGCAAGAGAAAGATTAATTTGAGCAAAATCAGATGAACTCTTTCTTAAAATATGTCAAAAAGATTCAAAACAAGCAAGACTTGTTGTTATAGTCTGGATAAAAACACCCCCACAATTTTTATCTATATTCACTTCTATTAATCTTAAAAGATTTTATAAAGCAAAATATTATGTGAACAATATCATTTAATTCCAGGGTTTTTCATTTCTTAAATAATGTATAAATACAGAAACACAGGATTGTGTAATAGTTACTTAATACCTCTTATAATATCCTCCCTTTTTTTCTGCACAGAAGTTATAGAATAAAAATTATATAAATATTCCTCATTTGTATATGTGTACCTTTGAAACATTATAAAAAACAAAAGCTGATGCATGATATTAGACCATGAGTATATTTTTAAGCCCTAGGGGCACAAAAAAGTTAAAATAATTAATATACAAAAGATAGAAATGTTAACTTTCAAATAATCAATAGCATAAGAAATTGTACAATCTCCTATTGTCTCTTGTCTGTTCCGACATTTATTATCCATGTTACCAACTTCAGTGGGATGGACAAAAACAAGAGACCAGTTAACTAGGAATATCTAAGTCAGAAATTATCAAAATTTGATGGATATCAGAATCCTCCTGGCTGTTTGTTAAAGAAGCACATTTCCTGAAATCTTTCACTACTCAGCATTCTGACTCAGTCACGTTGAAAGGGAGGAGAAGGGCATTGGTAAATGCTTGCTTGATAGAAATCCAAGTGAATCTCAAGTAGGTATTTTTTGGATCACAGCTTGAGAAGCATGACTCCAACCACCATCACTACCACTCCAGTATTTTCAGTAAGATGTGTTGTCTCCTTTGCCAACCCTGTAGTTTGTAGACTAAACCACTTGCTCACTGCCTTTACTATTATACTTCACCTTCTCTCCAAATTCCCTGCAGATTCTTCAAATTGAGGCCTTTAATTTCTTTCAACATTCTGCCTTCTCCTCCTGATTAGGTTGTTTTGGGTTTTTAATTTTGCTTTGTTTTGCTTAACAGAATTGCCTGTCTTCTTTTGACATCTTTCTCCCTCCATTTGGCTTTCTAAGAACATCTCTTCCCAGTCTCTCACTCTTCTCTGCTGTACTTGTAAACTTCAGTGATGTGCCTTCTATCCTTGCCAATGAGAAGGCAATGTTTTGGCTAAGGCTTTCTGGATAAGATATTAGCTCATATGGTTAATCGTGCTCCAAAGTAAACCTCCTGTTTTGTTTTGTTTTGTTTTTATTTTTCTGACCCAACAGTATAACCTGGCTCCTGAGTAAAAACCTATATTTTGTTAATAATAAAAGAAATAGATAACACCTATTAGCAATTCTTTTCTGTAACTATTTAGATGACATGTAGTTTTCCTTCATTAAACATTTCATGAGCTGAACTACATCAAAGTGGTTTAATTCTTTTTAACTTTTCTTTTAAGTTCAGGGGTATAAGTACAGGTTTGTTATACAGGTAAACTGTGTCATGGGGGTCTGATGTACAGATTACTTCATCACCAAAGTATTAAGTCTAGTATCTATTAGTTATTTTTCCTGATCCTCTCCTTCATCCCACCCCCCACACTCTGGCCCCAGTGTCTGCTGTTCCCCTCTGTATGTCCATGTGTTCTCATTATTTAGCTCCCATTTATAAGTGAGAACATGTAGCAAAGAACATGATCTTGTCCTTTTTTATGGCTGCATAGTATTCCATGGCATATGTATCACATGTTTTTTATCCAGTCTCTTACTGATGAGCATTTAGGTTGATTCCATATGTTTGCTATTGTGAATAGTGCTGCAGTGAACATATGTGTGCATGTGTCTTTATCACAGAATAATTTATATTCCTTTGGGTATATACCCAGTAATGGGATTCCTGGATCGAATGGTAGTTCTGTTCTTAGGTCTTTGAGGAGTTGCCACAGCTTTCCATGATGGTTGAACTCATTTACACTCCCACCAACAGGATATAAGTGTTCCCTTTTCTCTGCAACTTCTCCAGCATCTGTTACTTTTTGGCTTTTTAATAACAGCCATTCTACCTGGTATGAGAAGGTAGCTCCTTGTGGTTTTGATATGCATTTCTCTTATTATCAGTGATGTTTAGCTTTTTTTTATATGCTTCTTGGTCACATATATGTCTTCTTTTTAAAAGTGTCTGTTCATGTCATTTGTCCATTTTTTAATGGGCTGTTTTTTTTCCGGTAAATTTGTTTAGGTTCCTTGTAGATACTTATTAGACCTTTGTCAGATGCATATTTTATAAAAATTTTCTCCCATTCTGTAGGTTGCCTGTTTATTGACAGTTTCTTTTGCTGTGCAGAAACTTTTTAGTTTAATTAGATGCCATTTGTCAATTTTTGCTTTTGTTGCAATTGCTTTTGGCATCTTTGTCATACAACATTTGCCGTTCCATGTCCAAAATAGTATTGTCCACATTGTCTTCCAGGATTTTTACAGTTTTGAGTCATATGTTTAAGTCTCTAATCCATCTTGAGTTGATTTTCATATATGGTGTAAGGAAATGGTCCAGTTTCAATCTTCCGCATATGGCTAGCCAGTTATCCTGGCACCACTTACCAGAGTTTTTTTTTTTTTTTTTTTTTAACCAATTGCTAGTTTTTGTTGACTTTGTCAAAGGTCAGATAGTTGTAGGGGTATGGCCTTTTTTCTGGGTTCTTTATTCTGTTCTTTTGGTCTACGTGCCTGTTTTTGTACAACTATCATGCTATTTTGGTTCTTGTAGCCCTACAGTATAGTTTGAAGTCAGGTAACATGACACTTTTAGCTTTTTTTTTTTTTTTTTTTTTTTTTTGCTTAGGATTGCCTTGGCTATTCAGGTTATTTTTGGTTCCATATGAATTTTAAAATAGTTTTTTTTCTAGTTCTGTGAAGAATGTCATTGGTAGTTTGATAGGACTAGCATTGAATCTATAAATCGTTTTGGGCAATATGGCCATTTTAACAATATTAATTTTTCCTGTCAATGAGCAGGGAATGCTTTTCCATTTGTGCCATGTCTGATTTCTTTGAGCAGTGTTTTGTAGTTCTCATTGTAGAGATCTTTCTCCTCTCTGATTAGCTGTATTCCCATGTGTTTTATTCTTTTTGTGGCTATTGTGGTTGGGACTGTGTTCTTGATTTGGCCCTCACCTTGACTGCTGTTTATGTATAGGAATGCTAGTGATATTTGTACATTGATTTTGTTATCCTGTGACTTTGCTGGAGTTGTTTATTAGCTTAAGGAGCTTTTGGGCCAAGACTATGAGATTTTCTAGATATAGAATCAGGTCATTTGCAACCAGGATAGTTTGACTCCCTCTTTTACTGTTTTAATTCCCTTTAGCTTTTTCTCTTGCCTGATTGCCCAGGTTAGAACTTCCAATACTATGTTAAATAAGAGTGGTGAGAGAGGACATTCTTGTCTTGTGCCAGTTTTCAAGGAGAATGCTTCCAGCTTTTTCCCATTCAGTATGATCTTGGGTGTGAGCTTGTCGTAGATGGCTTTTATTATTTTGAGGTATGTTCCTTCAATACCTAATTTATTGAGAGGTTTTTTTTTGTTTTGGTTTTTGGTTTTGATGGAGTCTCCCTCTGTTACCAAGCTGGAGTGGAGTGGCATGATCTCGGCTCACTGCAACCTCCACCTCCCAGGTTCAAGCGATTCTCCTGCCTCAGCCTCCTGAGTAGCTGGGACTACAGGAGCGCACCACCATGCCCAGCTAATTTTTGTATTTTTAGTAGAGACAGGGTTTCACCATGTTGGCCAGGATGGTCTCGATCTCTTGACCTTGTGATCCACCCACCTTGGCCTCCCAAAGTGCTGGGATTACAGGCGTGAGCCACCGTGCCATGAAGCACTATTGAATTTCATTGGAAGCCTTTTCTGTATCTATTGAAATAATCCTGTGTTTTCTATCTTTAATTCTATTTATGTCATGAACCACATTTATTGATTTACATACGTTGAGTCAACCTTGCATCCCAGGGATAAAGCCTGGATAAACCTTTTTGATGTGCTGCTGGATTTGTTTTGCCCATATTTTGTTCAGAACTTTTGCATTGATGTTCATCAAAAATATTGGACTGAAGTTTTCTTTTTTTGTTGTGTCTTTGCCAGGTTTTTGGTATTAGGTGGATGCTGGCCTCACAAAATATGTTAGGGAGGAGTCTCTCCTCCTTAAAGTTTTGGAATAATTCAGTAAAAATGGGAATTTGGCAGTGAATCCATTGGGCTCTGGAATGTTTTTGGTTGGTAGGCTATTTATTTTACTGATTCAAATTTGGAGCTTATTATTGGTCTGTTCAGGGGACGAATTTCTTCTTTGCTTAGTCTTGGGATGGTGTAGGTATCCAGAACTTTATACATTTCTTCTACATTTTCTAGTGTATGTGCATAGAGGTTTTTTTAATAATATTCTCTGATGGTTACTTATATTTCTATGTGATTGGTGGTAATGTCCCTTTTGTCATTTCTAATTGTGTTTATTTAGATCTTCTTTCTTTTCTTCTTTATTAGTCTAGCTAGTAGTCTATCTATTTTAAAAACCAACTCTTGTATCCCAGGGATGAAGCCCACTTGATCATGGTGGATAAGCTTTTTGATGTGCTGCTGGATTCAGTTTGCCAGTATTTTATTGAGGATATTTGCATCGATGTTCATCAAGGATATTGGTCTAAAATTCTCTTTTTTTGTTGTGTCTCTGCCAGGCTTTGGTATCAGGATGATGCTGGCCTCATAAAATTAGTTAGGGAGGATTCCCTCTTTTTCTATTGATTGGAATAGTTTCGGAAGGAATGGTTCCAGCTCCTCCTTATACCTCTGGCAGAATTCAGCTGTGAATCCGTCTGGTCCTGGACTTTTCTTGGTTGGTAAGCTATTAATTATTGCCTCAATTTCAGAGCCTGTTATTGGTCTATTAAGAGATTCAACTTCTTCCTCGTTTAGTCTTGGGAGGGTGTATGTGTCCAGGAATTTATCCATTTCTTCTAGATTTTCGGTTTATTTGTGTAGAGTTGTTTATAGTGTTCTATGATGGTAGTTTGTATTTCTGTGGGATCGGTGGTGATATCCCCTTTATCATTTTTTATTGTGTCTATTTGATTCTTCTCTCTTTTCTTCTTTATTAGTCTTGCTAGCAGTCTATCAATTTTGTTGATATTTTCCAAAAACCAGCTCCAGGATTCATTGATTTTTTTGAAGGGTTTTTCATGTCTCTATCTCCTTCAGTTCTGCTCTGATCTTAGTTATTTCTTGCCTTCTGCTAGCTTTTGAATGCGTTTGCTCTTGCTTCTCTAGTTCTTTCAATTGTGATGTTAGCGTGTCAATTTTAGATCTTTCCTGCTTTCTCTTGTGGGCATTTAGTGCTATAAATTTCCCTCTACACACTGCCTTGAATGTGTCCCAGAGATTCTGGTATGTTGTCTTTGTTCTCATTGGTTTCAAAGAACATCTTTATTTCTGCCTTCATTTTGTTATGTACCCAGTAGTCATTCAGGAGCAGGTTGTTCAGTTTCCATGTAGTTGAGCAGTTTTGAGTGAGTTTCTTAATCCTGAGTTCTAGTTTGATTGCACTGTGGTCTGAGAGACAGTTTGTCATAAGGCTGGTTCAACCTATGCAAATCAATAAACGTAATCCAGCATATAAACAGAACCAAAGACAAAAACCACATGATTATCTCAATAGATGCAGAAAAGGCCTTTGACAAAATTCAACAGCACTTCATGCTAAAAAACTCTCAATAAATTAGGTATTGATGGGACATATATCAAAATAATAAGAGCTATTTATGACAAACCCAAAGCCAATATCATACTGAATGGGCAAAAACTGGAAGCATTCCCTTTGAAAACTAGCACAAGATAGGGATGCCCTCTCTCACCACTCCTATTCCACATAGTGTTGGAAGTTCTGGCCAGGGCAATCAGGCAGGAGAAAGAAATAAAAGGTATTCAATTAGGAAAAGAGGAAGTCAAATTGTCCCTGTTTGCAGATGACATGATTCTATATTTAGAAAACCCCATCATCTCAGCCCAAAATCTCCTTAGGCTGATAGGCAACTTCAGCAAAGTCTCCGGATACAAAATCAATATGCAAAAATCACAAGCATTCTTATACACCAATAACAAACAGAGAACCAAATCATGAGTGAACTTCCATTCACTATTGCTTCAAAGAGAATAAAATACCTAGGAATCCAACTTACAAGGGATGTGAAGGACCTCTTCAAGGAGAACTACAAACCACTGCTCAATGAAATAAAAGAGGACACAAATAAATGGAAGAACATTCCATGCTCATGGATAGGAAGAATCAATATCGTGAAAATGGCCATACTGCCCAAGGTAATTTATAGATTCAATGCCATCCCAATCAAGCTACCAATGACTTTCTTCACAGAATTGGAAAAAACTACTTTAAACTTCATATGGAACCAAAAAAGGGCCTGCAGTGCCAAGACAATCCTAAGCCAAAAGAACAAAGCTGGAGGCATCATGCTACCTGACTTCAAACTATACTACAAGGCTACAGTAACCAAAACAGCATGGTACTGGTACCAAAACAGAGATATAGACCAATGGAACAGAACAGAGCCCTCAGAAATAATACCACAATCTACAACCATCTGATCTTTGACAAAACTGACAAAAACAAGCAATGAGGGAAGGATTCCCTATTTAATAAATGGTGCTGGGAAAACTGGCTAGCCATATGTAGAAAGCTGAAACTGGATCCCTTCCTTACACCTTATACAAAAACTAATTCAAGATGGATTAAAGACTTAAATATTAAACCTAAAACCATAAAAACCCTAGAAGAAAACCTAGGCACTACCACTCAGGACATAGGCATGGGCAAGGACTTCATGACTAAAACACCAAAAGCAATGACAACAAAAGCCAAAAATTGACAAATGGGATCTAATTAAACTAAACAGCTTCTGCACAGCATAAGAAATTACCATCAGAGTGAACAGGCAACCTACAGAATGGGAGAACATTTTTGCAATCTACTCATCTGACAAAGGGCTAATATCCAGAATCTACCAAGAACTCAAACAACTTTACAAGAAAAAAACGAACAACCCCATGAAAAAGTGGGCAAAGGATATGAACAGACACTTCTCAAAAGAAGACATTTATTCATCCATCAGACACATGAAAAATGGCTCATCATCACTGGCCATCAGAGAAATGCAAATCAAAACCACAGTGAGATGCCATCTCACACCAGTTAGAATGGCGATCATTAAAAAGTCAGGAAACAACAGGTGCTGGAGAGGATGTGGAGAAATAGGAACACTTTTACACTGTTGGTGGGACTGTAAACTAGTTCAACCACTGTGGAAGACAGTGTGGCGATTCCTCAAGGATCTACAACTAGAAATACCATTTTCACCCAGCTATCCCATTACTGGATATATGCCCAAAAGATTAGAAATCATGCTGCTATAAAGACACGTGCACACGTATGTTTATTGTGGCACTATTCAAATTAGCAAAGTCTTGGAACCAACCCAAATATCCATCAATGATAGACTGGATTAAGAAAATGTGGCACATATACACCATGGAATACTATGCAGCCATGAAAAATGATGAGTTCATGTCCTTTGTAGGGACATGGATGAAGCTGGAAACCATCATTCTCAGCAAACTATCACAGGGACAAAAAACCAAACACCACATGTTCTCACTTATAGGTGGGAATTGAACAGTGAGAAAACTTGGACACAGGAAGGTGAGCATCACACACTGGGGCCTGTCGTGGGGTGGGGGGAGCAGGGAGGGATAGCATTAGGAGATATACCTAATGTAAATGATGAGTTGATGGGTGCAGCACACCAACATGGCACATGTATACATATGTAACAAACCTGCACGTTGTGCACATGTACCCTAGAACTTAAGGTATTAAAAAAAAGACAAAAAGCAAACAAAAAAACTCTTGAATTCATTGATCATTTTAATGGTGTTTTGTGTCTCAATCTCCTTCAGTTCTGCTCTGATTTTGGTTATTTCTTATCTTCTGCTAGCTTTGGGGTTGTTTTGCTCTTGGTTCTCTAATTCTTTTAGTTGTGATGTTAGGTTGTTAACTTGTGATCTTCCTAACTTTTCGATGTGAGCATTTAACACTACCTTTGCTGTGTCCCATAGATTCTGGTATGGTGTATCTTTGTTCTCATTAGTTTCAAAGAACTTCTTGATTTCTGCCTTTACTTCATTATTTACCCAAAAGTAATTCAGAAGCAGCTTATTCAATTTCTATGTAATTGCATGGTTTTTAGCAAATTTCTTAGTCTTGATTTCTAATTTGATTGTGCTGTGGTCCAAGAGAGTGGTTGTTATAATTTCAGTTATTTTGCATTTGCTGAGAGTGTTTTGTGTCCAATTATGTGATTGATTTTAGAGTATGTGCCATATGGTCATGAGAAGAATGTATATTCTGTTGCTTTGGGGTAGAGAGTTCTGTAGAGGTCTATCGTCTCCATTTGATCCAGTGCTGAGTTCAGGTACTAAATATCTTTGTTAATTTTCTGCCTCAGTGATCTGTCTAATACTGTCAATGGGGTGTCAATGTCTCTCACTATTATTGTGCGGGAGTCTATGTCTCTTTGTCAAACTCTAAGATCTTTCTTTATGAATATGGGTGCTCCTGTGTTGGGTGCACACATGCATTTAGAATATAGTTAGGTCCTGTTATTGAATTGAACCCTTTATCATCATGTAATTCTCTTCTTTGTCTTGTTTGATCTTTGTTGGTTTAAAGCCTATTTTGTCTGAAATTATTGCAACCCCTGCCTTTTCCATTTGCTTGGTTGATTTTTCTCCAACTCTTTATTGTGAGCCTGTGGGTATCATTACATATGACATGGATCTCTTGAAGCTAGCATACCAAGGAGTCTTGGTTCTTTATCCATGTTGCCACTCAGCATCTTTTAATTGGGTTATTTAGCCCATTTATATTCAAGATTAGTATTGATATGTGTGGATTTGATCCTGTCATTATGATGTCAGCTTGTTATTATGCAGACTTGTTTGTGTGGTTGCTTTATAGTGTCACTGGCCTGTGTACTTTAGTGTGTTTTTGGAGCAGCCAGTAATGATTTTTTCTTTCCATATTTAGTGCTTCCTTCAGAAAGGAAAGGCAGGTCTGGTAGTAACAAATTCCCTCAGCATTTGTTTGTCTGAAATAAATCTTATTTCTTCTTTGCTTATGAAGTTTAATTTGGCTGGATATGAAATTCTGGGTTGGAATTTTTTCTTTAAGAATGTTGAATATTGGCCCCCAAACTTTTCAACTTCGTAGGATTTCTGCTAAGATGTGCACTGTTAGACTGATGTGCTTCCCTTTGTAGGTGACCTGACAGAAATTTCTGTCATTTCTGCTTTGCAGAAAGTTCAGAACCCTTGCTGGGGAGGTGGTGTGGTTGTTTGGAGAAAATAGATTTTTTTTTTCTTTTATCCTATTTGATGACCTTGAAGGTTTATTGTGATATAAGGTGGATCCAGCCAACTGG
The DNA here is from genome assembly GCF_000001405.40 of Homo sapiens. Lineage (NCBI taxonomy): Eukaryota > Metazoa > Chordata > Mammalia > Primates > Hominidae > Homo > Homo sapiens. The sequence continues at coordinate 110,200,049 of NC_000003.12, read as the reverse complement.
CTTCATTTTCGAAAGATTTTAGGAAGCAAAGGCTTAGGTTTCAACTCCTGGACTACATGTTCAATATCTGGGGGCTTGTATCAGTCCCTGACTTTGTTCTCTGGCTCCTCAAGGTTAGGAGTCCACTGTGTTGGTGGGGCAAGGTGCTCCTGGACCACTAGTCACTACACTCTGATTGGTGGTGTTAGTCAAAGCATTTTGTAGTGTGGTGGCAATGGGATCGGTTCTTGTTCACAAGGGCCAGCAGCAGTGGTAGTGCTGTGAAGTGCATACTTGTCTGCTGCAATAGGGTGCTAGCAGGTGCCAGGGTGCCTGCCTCTTTGCAAGCATTTGCCTCCATGGTAAAGGCAGCACAGCTTGGGGGAATGACGGAGCCCCTGCTGGCAACTGTGCCAGTGGTTATGCTGGTGGTGATGTTAGCATGAGGGTGGGATGCTGGTGGGTGCAGATCTGTGTGTGTTCTCTGCTCATCACAGGCGGGGGTGGTCGCTCAGGATGGTGGAGGGTTTGCCATTCTCTGTGCCTAACGTCACTATGTTGACAGCGTTTGTGCAGGAGTGGGATCCTGGTGAGGGCTGGGCTGGCTGGCTCTGTGCCTACCAAGGCTCTGACTGAAATGGCAGTCTAATGGGAGGAGGGTGGGTAGAGTACACTCTTGTCAGTTGCAGCTGTGGTAGGGCAGTGTGTGTGCACACAGGTGCACTGGTGAGGCAAGTAAGACAAAATTTGCCTGAGCACACACATGCAAGCAGAGCAATGTGGGAGGTTGCCTTGGGCCTGGGAGAAGCTGCGGTGTAAGGAGGGAGTGGGTGGGCTGGTGTGTGGCCATGGGACCTGCCCCGCTGGAGCTGTTGACTGTTCAGGCATGGTGCACCAGTGCGGGAGCTATGATATGGGTCACCAGGACACCCAAGGCTGCCATGCAAGCAGATGCTGCTGGGCTGGGACTCCAGGAAAAGCCAGCAGACCAAGGGGTGCTCAGGTCTGACCAGTCCCATCTTATGGGCAAGACTTCCCTGCAGAGTTCAGATCCACCAATTCTCCTAGGGCTAAAGTCTCTTATGAGAGCAAGTCGAGCCTACAGTGACAGCCATCCCTGGCCGTACTCTGCTACAAATGCTCCCACACCAAACCCTCTGGACTCGCCTTCAGCTGGTGTGCTGCCAATACCACTTCTGTAAGCAGCTCTTCCTGCCAACTCAAATGGCCCTCGTGGTTGAAGGGTCTCCTCTTGCTGAGATTTCAGAGGCCCTTTGTAAAAGTGGGTTGCTCTTTGCCAATTTACCTTAACTGTTCCCTGGGAGTTGTTGGGGGCCAGAAACGAGTCCTGGCACACTGTCGTCCCATCAATATGGCTTAAAACATTTTTAATATAAAAAACTGTATTTCTAGAAATAACCAAAATTATCCATGCTGCACTACTTTTTTAATGCCTTACTGCATTCAAGTTGCAAATATTTCTTTTCTCCAAAAGCATATGTGTAACTTAGAAACATGTTTTATCTGAATGTTTAAAAGAACTTTCTATACATTTATCTAGGCCTGGTCTTTTTATTGTGGGAATACATTCATTTATTGATGGTTTCTATATAACAAAGTTAAGAAAGCCAAAGAGATTTCTCTATTTATTCTGTTTTAGTACTTTATATTTTTCTAAAAAGTGACTATTTTTCTACAGTTTTAAATTACTGGCATAATGTTATACTTAATTTTTCTTATCTTTTTATTCTTTTACACATTTAGTCTTATTCCATTTTTCACTCCTACTATTATTTAATCATGTCTTCTCTCTCTCTGTCTTTTTTTTTTCAGTCTTGATAAATTTTGCCAGATCTTGGTTTTCATTTTCAAAAGTACACATCTTTGTTGATTTTTCTAAAGTATCTTCTGTTTTTTATGTCATTAATATTAACTCATCTTTATTATTTCATAACCTAATATTTCATTATATTTGTTTTGTTTATATTTTGCTGACTTCATACGTCACACAGCTAGCTCATTTTCTTCTTCTCTAGTGTAAAATTTTAATGCTCTAAATTGCTTTGAAGTAGAAAACTTCAGTTGTGTACACAAATTTAGTATTTTTGTTATCATTAAATATTAGCATTTAAAATGTCCATTATGATTTACTTTTTTACATTTGAGCCTTTTAGGTGATTTTGTTAAATTTTCTAATAGCATATTTTGCTGGAGTTGTATTTTTTCTCTTTCTCATTACTTTGTTATTGATTTATAAGTTAATTTCATCATAGTTAGAGAACACTAGGATATAAATTATCTGAATATCACTAATATCTTCTTTGTGGGCTTGTTTTGAAAAGAACGTGTGTTTGTGTTTGCTGTGGTATTATTTATATATAAAATATATTATTTATAGATAAACATATTCATATATATTTATATATGTAAAATATATTTTAACAATATAAATAACAAAGTTATCTAATAAGTGTATATATATAATTAGACAATTTTGCTATTTATATTGCTAAAATAGTATAGATTCATACTGACTTTTTGTCTGTTTCAACTATCAGAGAAATGAACTGCAATCTCATACAGTTTTAGGGGATTTATTGATTTCTCCTTGTAGCTATTTCAATTTATCTTTGTTATGAAGTATGTGTGACTTTAGAAAATGTATAACTCTTCCCAGTAAATAAAACTAATTTTCCATAAATAAAAAATTAAGTATTTCTATCAATGCCTTTTGACTTGTTACTTTCTAATATGGGTTATTATTCAGCCATAAAAAGAATGAAATTCTGTCATATGCAACAACATGGATGGAACTGGAAGACATTATGTTATGGGAAATAAGCCAGGCACAGAAGGACACATGTTCACAGTCATATGGGAGCCAATAATTAAACAAATTAAACTCAGGGAGATAGAAAGTAGAATGATGGCTGGGAAGTGTAGCATGGTTGGTGGGGGACAAAGTGGGCATTATTAATGGGTACAAACATATAGTTAGATAGAAGAAATAAGATCTACTATTTGGTAGCATCCTTATTTAAAAATATTTTATATCATAAAATAAACTATGGAATTGGAATGTTCCTAACATAAAGAAATTATAAGTGCGTTAGGTGATGGATACCCCAATTACCCTGATTTGATCATTGTACATTGTATGCCTATACCAAAACATCACATGTTTGGTGATACACATACAACATGTTTAATTATAAATATATGAATATTTAATACCCATGATAATTAATTTAAAAAAGAATGCCAGAAAAAAATTTTTTTATCTTAGTCACATTTTTTAAACATCTTCTTGGTCTTTTTTCTAATTTTTTATTTTAAAATTTTATTTACCTTAAGTGTAGATATATTTCTTATATACTTCGTATTATTAAATGTTATAATTGAGTCTGATGATGATTCACTTCCTAATTGTTGAATTTGTCTATTTTTATTGACTATGATAATTAATAGTTTTGTTTCTGTATGTTAATTCATATCTTCTGTTTTTCTACTTTATGCCTGCCTATCTATTATCTATTTATCCATCAATCTGTTTTTTTAAATTCAGTCTTCTTATTTGTTTTTATCAATTTTTTTCTTCTTTTCTGCTTTTTTTGTTTTTTTCTAAAAATCACTCCATTGTTACTTCTTTATTAGCTTAAGTGGTGTTTTCATGCCTTTTTTCTGTTAACACTTACATGTTAATGTGACTATTTACTTACTCACATCTTAATTTAACCAATATGTTTACTATTGAGACATTTTAAAGACTATTTAGCATTAGCAGCATTCCACAGTATCTTCATAATATTGTAATGAAATTCATAGGTTTTGGTGTTAGGGTTATTCAGGCCCAGTAAAATTCTTCTACATGCTGAAAACAACTGGTGAAGTATTAGTAATATCTCTTTCTTGAATATTTTACATAATTCACCAGAATACCTATCTGGTCTTAAATTCTCTCTCTCGCTCTCTCTTTCTGTGTGTGTGCGTGTGCGTGTGTGTGTGTGTGTGTGAAGTTTTTGTTATAACAGACATAATATCTAGATTTTCTGGTTTATATCATGTCAGGTCTTGATTATTTAAATTTTTCAAGAAACTTGTTCATTTATTTGAGTTGTCAAATTCGTTCATGATATGTCTATAGAATCTGTATTAATACTCCATCTATCATTTCTGATATTGATAATTCATGTTCTCTGGCTGTCTGGCTGGCTGTCTAATGGTTGCCCTTTTTTACTAACTTTTCAAAAATCAATTTTTGGCTGTTAATTCTCTCTATTATTTGTTTGTTTTCTATTCTACTGGCTTCTCCTTCAATATTTATTATTTCCTCTTTTCATACTCATACTTGGTTTTCTTTCTCTCAGCTTCTTAAGGTGCTACAATATGTCGTAAACTTTAGGATTTTCTCTTATTTTTTAATATGAGCATCTAAAGCTATAATTTCAATCTAAGCACAGCTTAGATCTATCCAACAAATGTGATATGTTGAATTTTTATTATTTATATTTTTAAAATATCTTTAAATTTCTCTGCCTATATGATATGATTCTTTCATATTTGTGTGCCAACAGTTTTGACCCCAAACATTTAGCATTATTCTTATTGTTTACATTAATCCACATGTTTTTTACACATTTTGGTTGTTGTTGCTCATTATACCTTCTCATATTTCAGACCTAGCTTCTTTTTCTTCTTTTGTTTCTTCATTTCTTTCTTTTTCTTTTTTTTTTTTTGAACTCTGTATTTTAGTTCTTCCCCTGTCTTTGAAAGTGATATCTCAAAATTTTTTAAGTCTGTATTTTGCCATCATTCCAAAAGTTTAAAGTGAATACACAGTTCTATGTTGTCAATAATTCTTTTATTGTGTTGAAAATATCAAGAGAATGAGGCATTATGAAAAGGTAATACAGAAACAAGGGTGAGGGAACGTGTAGACTTAGTGTGTAAAATATGCCTGAATATGTCAAAGTGAATAGAAAATCTACTTTGTAGCCTTTTTTATATTACAGTTTCTCAGATACTAACTAGGCTTCAGACTGGTGAATTTTGTTTTGCACTGGCCAAGGGACCAACTATTTTTACTGTCCAACCTTAAATTCTAAAGATAAAATATTGCAGGTAACACAGTATATGCATTATATTTTTAAAGAGTTGATGACAACTGAAATCAATAACTATTTTTTACTAATAAAAAAGATGATATAACTCTTTGTCCAAAGTAGCGCTTAACAAGGATGAAATTTTAAAGCTATTTGGTACTTGTTGTAAACAAATGGTCCAGATACTTACATATTTTAGCAGTTGTATGTCCTGAGAAAACTCATTCTTAAAATTGGTGCTATATTAACAGTAGTATATGATATTGTAATGAGTTTGCTTTATCATTGGAAAATACTTAATTCTGCTCTAGAGAACCAGAAAACAAATAACATGATTGTATCTCATAAAAAGTAATTAGCAAAGATAATAAATAAGCTGGTAGATTATGAGATATAGGCAAAACTCATAGGGTATGTTGGAACAGAAGATAATGAATAAATAATTAACACATGATATATAGGCAGAATTCATAAGCTGAGCTAAATATAAATAAATAGTAAATAATTAATAGACTACAGAACATGCTAAAGATGGAAAGAATAATTTCAATGTATGCTGAAAAAACAGAAGTGCTGCACAAAGATCAAAAAAGACAGAAAGGTCATATACTGAGAATGCATCCTATAGGCTAAAAGCTACCTCATCCCTATATAAATCACCCAATGGTAATACCTAGCATAGTCCTATCATAGTCCCAGATATGTCCTGCCCAAGGAAGGTGGATAAAACCATGACTATTCATTTAACTAATTGGCAAGCTACTTACCTCTGCATCACTCTGATAGAGAAATGAGTATCTTTGCCCCTAGTAACTTTTGTCTATGAGCCCCTTTGAACATACTTGGGCTTTTATTCTCAAAATTGTATCATTAGAAAGGAAGAGGATGGTGGAGGAGAGAAAAACAGACAGGACGTTTGTACGTTGTGTATCCAGAACTTGTGTTTCAGGTATTTTTTCTCACTCACAACCTATCTGAAGCATGTTAACCTGCCCCACCTTCCTCCCTTGCATCTTACTTCATATTTTAAATATTTTTAATAAACTTTAATTTGTTCTATAATAAACTGACTTTCTGTTTTGTGACCTCTGGGGTAGTTTGTTAGTATGCTCAGAATCGATCATTGCAAGTAATTTCCTATATAGTAGATAATAATAAAATCATTAAAGCATATTTGCTAACACTCTTTACAATGGGTATTTAAGGCCAATTATTTAAAAATTAAGATAGCAAGATATGCTAGGATTAAGAATATCCAATTGTACTTGTAGAAAACCAATATTTATCTGTGTGACTTCTAAATAACCTTGACAAATACCAGATATTTATAAGGATGAAAACAAAAGTAAATTCTCTATAAAGCTGTTAATTAATCTCTAAATTACTCTGGGAAACATTTCTTCTGTTACTACTTGGAAATGATTATGTGTTCTAGAGAATGGAAACTTGTGGTTCATAACACTTTAATTTCTATTTATATACTTACAGAGAGTTTGCTGCATATAAATCTATAATACCTTCTAAAATATTGTTCTAGCCCAGTGGGTTCCACCTACTGATAGCATATCAAAAGCTACATTCCAATGATGCCTGCAATATTTCACTAACTACACTCTTGTCTGTCTTGTTTCAGTGCCCTCATTTATCATGTACTCTTTTGTCAGATCGATCTTGCTACCGAGATGCTTTAAGTAACTCTCATTTTTAATGTGTTTCATTGGATCCAAGTTTGGATTTAATAAAGTCCAAATTTCTTACTCAGGCATCCTAAAACCTTAGAGAATCAGGCCATGCCTCTTTTCCAGGCTTATATTTTCTATTATTGTAAATCCAAGCTATGGCTGGAATGCTTCAATGTTTGGTCAGCCCTTCAAATCTAACAAATCTTATGTATGAGATTTGAAACTACAAATGCATGTCTGTTATCTGTAACTACCTAGTCATTACTTAATGTTTTTTGCAATAGTCTCATCATCTACAAACTGTGAATATAATAATTATAATCATAGGCATAATTATACTCTCCTCACAGAGTTGTAAAGATTAAATTAGATAATCTATAAGGTGTTCTTTATTCTGAGAATCCCCTTCTCTTTATGTACATATCTATAGATACATATTGATAGACATATATTTTCTAAAAACTTCTTTGTGGATCAGCTACATCCACATTTTTAAAATTTCTCCTGGGGTTTTTATAATCAACTTTATTCCTATATACTAGTAATGAACAATTGGAAATAAAAAACAATGTACCATGTATAGTAACATTCAAAAACATATATCACACCAAGAGTGAGTGAACTCTGATAGAAACTATAGAAGCTGGGTGATAATGACATGTCAACATAGGCTCATCAGTTGTAACAAATGTACCACTCTGGTAGGGGATATTGATAATGGTGGAGGCTATGCATGTGTTGGGTAGGGGGTATATAGGAAATCTCTCTAATTTCTGCTAAATTCTGCTGTGAACATAAAACTGCTCTAAAAAGTAAGGTCTCTTGAAAAAATAAACATGAAACAGGTAGAAACTAATAAGTATAGTTAGCATATATGCTGAAAACTAAACAAACAAACAGAGTTCTGGTTTCAGCCGTGACATGTAAAAAGCTTGGAAGTCATTACTTCATTTTTTACCAAAATAGAAGAAATGAAGAAATGTAAAATTAACATTTCTTGGGCCCATCAGAGAACCGAGGTTACAGGGCAAATCACCACTCTGAAATCTGGAGAGACAGGCAAATACACAGAAATACAGTTGGGAACCACTTACCTAGGGAGGATGCTGCTAGAGGCAGAATTGTTAGAAATGTTTAAATATAGACAAGTTAAAATATAGACAAGTTGGTGGAGACTGAGTGTGGACATTCTTGAGAGTGAGAAACCTCTGAAAGTCATAATCTTAGGGGAACCCCCACATTCTGGTGGGTTTTACATTCAGGAAACTCACAAAGTTCTCAAAATGCAGAGCTAAGAACAATCCCCTTCTCTTCCAGAGCCTTATGCCACCTAGCAGAAAAGGCAATTTACCCAACTCTAGTCCCTTCTAGCCTTCTTGTCTCACTTAAGGGTATGTGTGGTGGTGGAGGAGGGGAGAGTTAAAACAGACAAACAAACAACAACAACAACAAACCTGTTGTGAGAAACATAGCCCAGGGACACAAGCATACTAAAGGACTGAGATTTAATCATAAGATTATAAAGCACTTTCCTTCACTACCTAGTACTTACCATCGCATAAAGTATAATAAAAATGGATTATAGCTGGAAGAACTGCAAGACTCAAACTGTATATAAGGAAGAGCTCTTAGGGTCGTCAAAAGACAAAAATTGATAGAATTGAACACTGATGTAGAAAAATTTACTACTACGGTTGAAGACTTTAACACTCCTCTTTCAGCAATTGATAGATCAAGGAGGTAGAAAATCAGTAAGGATAAAGTTGACCTGAAGAACTCTATCAATCAATTTGATATAATTGACATTTATAAGGTACTCCATAAAGCAATAACAGAATACACATTCTTTACTGTCTCATGTGGAAATTCACCCAGATAAATTACATTCTGAATCATGAAACACAGCTTAACAAATTTAAAATAATAGAAATTGTACAAAATATGCTCTCAGACCACAGTGGAATTAAACTAGAAATCAGTAAATGAATGATAGTTGGAATATTTCCAAATATTTAAGGATAAAACAACATACTTTATATAAAAACGGGTCAAAAATCTCTCAAATAAATTTTAAGAATGTTGTACTAAATAAAAATTAATAGAAATTATTAAAATTTGTTAGAAGAGTGAAAGTCGTGTTTAAAGAAATATTTATGCTATTAAATACACATATGAGAAAAAGCAAAAACTCTAAAAGTATAACACAGCTTCCTTCTAAGGAAACTAAAGAAAAGAATGTAGTACTAAAGGAAGTAGAAGAAACACAGAAGAAATAATTAGAACAGAAAACAATAAAATTAAAAACAGGAAATCAATAGAGAAAAACAATGAAATGCAACTAGGTTTTTGAAATGTATTGATAAATTGTTTTGAAGTTTTTTTGAAATTAAATTGATAAAACTCTAGCCAGGCTAACCAAACAAAAGTGAGAAGACACAAATTACAAATATTAGAAATGAAAGAGTGGTCATTACTACTGATTTCATGATATTAAAAGATAATAAGGAATACTGTGAACAACTCTATCCCACATATATCATAAATATCATAACATAGATGAATCAATTTCTTCAACCACTCTACCAAAACTCCCATAAGAGAAATAGATAATCTCAATAGGACAATAGTTATTAAATAAATTGAATCAATAATTAATAATATCATAAAATATAGAGCATGGGCCTATATATTTTTACTGGCAAATTCTATCAAATGTATAAATAGGAAGTGATATCGATTCCCCAAATCACTTTCAGAGAATATAAGTAGAGGAATATTTCCTATCTCATTCAGTGAGGTCAGCATTATCTTAATAAAGACAACACAATTAGAGAAAACTACACATCAATATCTTTCATGAATATATATATATGTAAATCCTCAAGAAAATATTAGTACATTGTATGTAATAATGTATAAAAAGAATTACGCCTTATGACAAACTGAGCTTTATTCCAGGTATGCAAAGCTAATTCAACATTTGAAAATTAATTAATGGACTTACCACAACAACATGGTAAAGAACCAAAATTATATGTTCATATTATTAAGGCAGAAAAAGATTTGACTATATCCAACACCATCCGCAGTAAAAATTTTTGGAAAATTAATGCTAGAAAAAATATTCATCATTTTCTAAAAAGCACCTACAAAGCCTAGAAATAATATGAGACTTTGTGATGAGATACTGGGTGGTTTTCCCTAAGACTGGAAACAAAGCAAGGATGTCTTCATTCACCGCTCCTAATTAATATCCTACTGGAAGTTCTAGCTAATGCAATAAGATAAGAAAGTAAAATAAAGGTATGAAGATTAGGAAGGAAGACAAAACTGCCTGTGTTTGCAAATGAATGATTATGTGTATAAAAATTCCCCAAAACTGCCCCCCCAAAATCCCAAAACAACCCACCTAGAACTAATATATGAGTTTATCAAAATCACAAATAAAACATTAATATAACAGTCATTTTTGCCATATATACCAGCAATAGATTACTGAAATTTGAGTTTTTAAATAACATAGCACTTACAATGATGTATTTAGTTATACATCTAAAAAAGTCTATAAAAACTATAAAACTCTGATGAAACAAAATGAAGAAAATCTAAATGAAGATATTCCATGTTCATATATTGGTAAAAACAATTTGTTAATATGTCAATGCTTTCCATCTTGATCTACAGATACAACACAAACCCCATCAATAATACATCAAGTCATATTGGGGATATTGACAAAGTCATTGTAAAGTTAATACGGAAAGGAAAAAGACATAGTATAGCCAACCCAATACTGATGTAAAATAAAAGATGGAGAGGACTGACGCTACCATATTTTAAGACTTACTATAAAGTTAAGTATCTAAGACAAGCATGGTAATGGCAAAAGATAGACACATAGATCAACGAACCAGAACAGATTCCTACATGTATAGCCAGTCTATCTTTGACATATGAGCAAGGCAATTCAATGGAAAAAATATAATTTTCCAAAAAATTGGACATCTGTGTACAAAAGCATGACACTAGACTTCTACCTCACACCTTTCAGAAAAATTAACTCAAACTGGAGAAACAAAATTTAAAATCCAAAACTATGAAAACATGTAGAAACAATACAGTAAAAATCTAGGTAACCTTGGATTTTTCATGGAGTTTTTACATACAACACCAAAATCTTTATCCATGAAAGAAAAATTGATATATTAGACTTTATTAAAATTATAAACTTATGTACTACAAAAAGCACTGTTGAGAGAATTAAAAGACAAGCTGTAGACTGGAAGAAAGTCCTTGCAGAACATGTATCTGTTAAGGGACTTGATATGGTTTGGCTCTGTGTCCCTACCCAAATCTCATGTCAAATTGTAATCTCCACATGTTGAAGGAGGGGTCTAGTGAAAGGTGAATCACTTATGGGAATGGATTTCCCCCTTGCTGTTCTCCTGGTAGTGCATGAGAACCACAACATCTGATTGTTTAAAAGTGTGCAACACTTTCCTGTTCACTCTCTTGTTCTGCCATGTCAAGAAGGTGCTTGCTTCACCTTGGCCCTTCCACCATGACTGTAATTTTCCTGAGGACTCCCCAGCCACGGAGAAGGGAATTGTGGGTTTGAAGCCCACATACAGAGTCCCCACTGGGGCACTGCCCAGTGGAGCTGTGAAAAGAGGGCCACCGTCCTCCAGACACCAGAATGGTAAATCCACTGAAAGCTTACACTGTGCACCAGGGAAATGCCTCAGACACTCAATGCCAGTCCATGAAAGCATCTGGGAGCAGGCTGTACCCTGAAAAGCCACAGGGGTGGTGGTGTTTGCCAAGGCTATGGGAGCCCACCCTTTGCATCAGCATGCCCTGGTTGTGAGACACAGAGACAAAGGTACTTATTTGGGAGCTTTAAGATTGAATGACTGCCCTGCTGAGTTTTGGACTTGCATAGGGTGTCTAGCCCCTTTGTTTTGGCCAATTTATCCCTGTTGGAATGGGAATATTTACCCAATATTCCTGTGCCTGCATTGTATATTGGAAGCAACTAACTTGTTTTTCATTTTACAGGTTCATAGGCAGAAATTACTTGCCTTGTCTCAGATCAGACTTTGCACTTGTGCTTTTGAGTAAATACTGGAATAAGTTAAGACTTTGGGGGACTGTTTGGAAGGCATGAATATGAGAAGGACAGGAGGTAAGAGAGGGGCCAGAGATGGAATGATATGGTTTGGCTCTGTGTCCTCACCCAAATCTCATGTTGAATTGTAATCCCCATGTGTCAGGGGAGGGGCTTGGTGTGAGGTGATCGAATCATGGGGGCATACTTCCCCCTTGCTGTTCTTCTGATAGTGAATGAGTTCTCATGAGATCTAGTTGCTTAAAAGTGTGTAGTGCTTCTTCTTTCACTCTTTCTCTCCTGTTCTGCCATCTGAAGAAGGTGCTTGCTTCTCCTTTACCCTTCCACTATGATTGTAAGTTTCCTGAAGCCTCCCCAGCCATACTTCCTGTACAGCCTGTGGAACTGTGAGTCAGTTAAACCTATTTTCTTTCTAAATTACCCTGTCTCAGTTATGTCTTTAAAGCAGTGTGAGAATGGACTAACACAGGACTTACATTCAAAATATATAAGAAAGAACACTTGAAGCTAACAATAAGAAAGTGAAATCTCAATTTAAAAAGTGCAAAACATCTGAATAGACATTTTACCAAAGAAGACATGCAAATGTCAAATACAGATAGCCAAGGTAATTCTGAAGAAAATGCGATATTGTAATAATTGACCTTTTCCTGCTCTCTCTCTTTATGTTTCATAAGTGTTAACCCTAATTTGACTATTACACTTCCTTCTAACTCTACTTTGGTGTCTACTCCCCAGAGGAAAAAACCAGCATAATGTAGAAATACCATAAGAGCATACATGCTATCAAACACCAAATTTAGCAGTCCAGGTATCTCTGGAGTAGGCATAGGAAAGGTACTGTGATCAAGGACACATTTATATGGAGCCTTATTTCCATTTGTAATGTTTTGTCCTTTGAGTTTGGTGTTGTTGCTATCAGTATTTGTATTACTATGTATATTATCGTGTAATGCAATGTGTTAGTCTTCCTTTATATTATGTTTCATATTTCTTTGTCTGTTTATATTTTATAAATAAACATTTTTAAAATAATTGAAAATGAGGCTTCTTTATAAAAAAGTCTCTTGGAAAATTATCTTTTTAAGTGGAATTAGAGGAGAAGATAGTTTCTAGAGGGGACTGTGGCCATAAGATGGGTTTAATCAGTTATTTAGGTAGGTAGTTTTAAGGACAGGTAATTCAAATCTTGAATCCAAACTTTTATATACCCTTGTGCAAGTTCTTTAAATTCTCTAAGTCTTAATTTCTTCACAGAAAATAGAAATTAAAATGTTTTCTATGTGTTCTTTGTGAGATTAAATTACGTAAAGCACCTAAGAGACCAGTGACTATCACAATGCACAATTATAGTTAGCATTATATATTATATATATTACATATAGTTAGCAATATTATATTATTGTCATATATTCTACTGTAGTAATTTGAAAATAATTCTCTATAAAAGGTACATACCAATTTTTAAAATTATGTAAATTGGCTGGCTGTGGTGGCTCATGCCTATAATCCCAGCACTTTTGGAGTCCGAGACAGGCAGATCACCTGAGGTTAGGAGTTCGAGACCAGCCTACTGGTGAAATCCCATCTCTACTAAAAATACAAAAATTAGCCAGGCATGTGGTATGTGCCTATAATCCCAGCTACTCAGGAGGCTGAGGCAGGAGAATTGCTTGAACCCAGGAGGTTGAGGTTGCAGTGAGTTGAGATTGCACCACTGCACTCCAGACTAGGCAACAGAGCAAGACGCCATCTCAAAAAAAAAATTTTATATATATATATATAATGAGTGCTTTATGTTTATGAGGTGGTTTAATTTACTAATTGCATTTAAATATGGAATTATTTGCATATTGTGTGCTTGGTTTAATTAGGATCAACAGTATATTTAGGATTGAAATGATTGCTAAATTATAAAAGAAAGAATTTCAACTTTCGTTTGTCAAAGAATCAGATTTCTAAATGTACTTTTTGTTAGAAATTATTTGGAGATAGTGAATTTGACCCAGCTCAGGCACAAACTATTTATTTTGGCAAGCAGTTTTGAAATCTATGAGTTGGTGCATCATTTTCAGTCACAATAGTTGAAAGCAGTTTTGTATTGGTTCAGATGCTGTGCTTTAGTGACCTTTACTTTGTCATAGTTGATTTATACTGTGCAGTAATATTGAGAATACACTTATAGAATATAGATATTATCTTTTCACTCATGTATTCTACCTGAAGAGTATATAGTATTATAAGCACTATTATCAATTCCAAACTTTTGATAGGAATTATAAGCATACTTACACAAGACCTCAGTAGAAAATAATATTGAAGCTCATGATTATCTAAATAACTTATATATATGTACTTTTAACCTCACAGACAAATACATGGATTCAATAAAGTACTTTAGAAACAGGCTTACATCTTGGGCTTTAACATTTTTCACTAAAATGAACCAATCTCTTCCCAATTTAATTCATTATTAATTCTTTAGTAGGCAACATAAATGTAATAAGCAGAAAAAATTGTGTCTATGTTAAAATAACTCTCCTAAATTGTGTTAAATGATTAGCAATACTTCATAATCAATATAAAGTAGGCATAGGATTTGTTTGGGAGATACATGTGGATGAATTTTATTATAAGAAAAAATACATCATTAGACTTTGTACAGATTTCGTCTGAAGACCTTTGCTAGGTTTGCCTTTCAATACTGTGGAAACAGTATCCCAGCAGGATACTACAAGAGATAGTCATGTGATTAATCACAGTGGACCTCATGTCCTTGGGGTTGCAATACCAAAACTGACATTTTTTTATACCAAAAGTTTTGAGTCCTGACAAGCATCTGTGAAGCTTTTCTGCTTCATCTCACCCTGTCTATACTATATCTATCTGGAACAGGAAATGTGCCTGTTGGTTAAAAAATCAGGTTTAGAGATGTGAAAAATAGAAATTAGCATATTTTTAAAGACATACACATATGCATATATATGTATATATAGTCCAAGAATACATATATATAAATATTCAGACAAAAAAATCTTACCTGTAATAAAATGTTTATTTTAAGAAATATCTCAAAGATTAACTTTGAAAAGCGTTCATAGTGTGGATAAAAAAAGAGAAAACTATTTCACAGTTTGCTTTCTATGGCACAATGGAAAATATTGACATGAGAAGAAATAAATTTTGGAAATAGAAATACTCTAAGAAAAGAGCATATATATTACTGATAGGTTCTATTTTCTTCACAACATATTATCACTTAAAAAGCAATAAAAGTTTACACAAGAGATGGATGGGCAGTTAGATTAAACAACATTGATTCAAAGCTTGAAAAAAAAAAGTAGGGACTAAAATATACTATTTGATTAAGTACTGGCTCTTGTTACTTAGGAGTCTGCCAAAAGGTTTGAATCTTATCCAAAGTAGTCTATTATACTTTTCACCGTTTTTAAACCCTGAAAGCAAGGGAGACATAAAATACACTGGCATTGAATAAAAACTGAAAGAAGCAATTAATTTGGAACAAATGCCCACTTCATGTGATAAAATCAAAGTCCTAAAAAGAGCCTAGTGACAGCTTTTAGGTGTTATGTCTCCCCCCAAATTCTGTGCTCAGACATAAGATTATTTTTAAATCTTTGGTTGAGCATTTTAAGTTTTCATACTCACAAGACATTGTCCCTTCAAACTTTGAACATTAAATTAGCTCTTAGTATATTCACTGGATATATATCAAATTAATATCAAGATCTATATCTAAGCTCCCAAACAGTTGTTTTTACTTTTTCAACAGAATTTCAAAAAATATATTTAGGTATACAAAGAAAAAGGGATTATGTAAGCTTATTATTATTTCTTTCATTTAGATGGACAGTGAGATTTCGATGAGGTTAATAAATACTGTACTGAATTCTATTAGCAGTAAGGAAGTGCTTTATGTATTATATGGTAAATTATAAGGCTATGCTTTTAACAGATAACTAGATATAATATTTTCATTTTCTATTAATTATATTCTACCTGGCTGCGCACTCTTGTTTGGATTAATGTACTATTTTCTATTAGTTTAAAATTTACTGTAAGTGTAAATACTATTTACATTTCAAAATTATGTGCTTTTAATCACTTTACAGAGAACATTTAGGTGGCATTATAATAAAAAAAATTACAATGTCAAGTGAAGGTAATACGTTACTAATTAAAAATAATTTATTTAAGAATATTCAGAAGATAAACATAAGACAAAAGAAGAAAACTTAAAATACCCATAACATTCTCCACAACATAACCATTCTGAACACATTGATATAAACCTTTCCAGGTGCCAGCGGGTTCTTGAGCTCCATTTATTTACATAATTTCAATATATTGCAGTGGGGGCATTTCAAATAGGAAAATTAAAGCTACAAACATTATTTGAGGTCTTTGTATATGATTTTGGTTAAATAGGTGCAGAGTCTCTGATGAAGTTACCAACTCTTAACACACTGAAGATGCTTAATAAATTGCAAAGCACATATATAGAAATGCTATATATGTGGAAATATATGTTGATGAATTACATTCCTTGACGTGAAAAAGAGAAAAAAGGATTCATTGAAGATAGTATTTCAATTAAGGTGTTAGAGTATTTCACGTAGGTCTAACCTGAATATGAAAGAAATCCACATCAATACTATTCATCAAATAATAACTAACTCATTGAGCACTCACTATGTCTGTATACTATTTATCTTTTGAATGAGATGATTGCCATTACCCTAATTTTATAGGAGAAAAATGTGAGATACTGAGATAATAAAAACGTTTAGGGACAAGAGAATTTAAATGATAGAGCTAGAAGTTGGCCACATACATCCAACATAAGAGTTTATTTTCTTAACCATTCCGCATTACTGATTCATAATTGTAGATGGCGATTCTAGGTGCTGTTAATAATAACGGTAGATTCATTTCACCTCATCTCGTGAACTCTGAGAAATTCTGGACAGTCTGGAGTTATCTGCATTCAATCATTATTAAGAGGTAAAACTTTTACAACTATTACTCTTATTTAAAAAGCCACGCAATATTGAAATGTGGGTAATAATGCTAGCGGTGTTGCACATTAATCAACAGATTCCAGCTGCCAGCCAAATCTTTTGCAATGATAGACAATTAAGACAAAATGAAAGAAATGGTCAAAAATTCAATTTGCTATATTAATGTAAATTATATTCCCCTTTTTTTTAGAAGAAGTGGGAAGTAAGAATGGTGCAGTTGTTGGGGTCAGTTAAGAAATAAAATATATTGGGCTTCCTAAAATATATATTAAAATATTGATTACACTTTTGTCATGTTATTACTTATTTCATTGTAGAACTTCCAAATATGGTAAAGATAAAAAAGTTGTATATGAATAATCAGCTTCAAAAATAAAATGAGTGTAATTCACTGAACAGGTGCTTTGTGGATGACAAAAAATGAAGTCAAATTGAAGTTTGCAAAATACTAGAGGAACTTTATATGTTTGAACTCCAATACAATGATTCTCAACTACAGAGTAGCTTTAAAAATATTGGCCGGACACGGTGGCTCAAGCCTGTAATCCCAGCACTTTGGGAGGCCGAGGTGGGCGGATCACGAGGTCAGGAGTTCAAGGCCAGCCTGGCCAACATGGTGAAACCCCATCTCTACTAAAAATACAAAAAATTAACTGGACATCCTGTAACCCCAGCTACTCAGGAGGCTGAGGCAGGAGAATCGCTTGAACCCGAGAGGCAGAGGTTGCAGTGAGCAAAGATCTCACCACTGCACTCCAGCCCCGGCAACAGAGTGAGACTGCGTTTCAAAAAAAAAAAATTATATATATAATATACATATCTCCACACACACACATATATATATGTATGTTTATATATATACCATTAACAAGATACCACCACAAACCAGTTAAATTATAGACCTTCGTTAGCAATTTATTCCTAGTGTTCCATTATTGGAACGCTGAGCATATGGGAATTATTTATATCCTAGTGCTCAAGGTCATCGCCAAGGCCTGATTGCAAACATTCAAAAAATTGCAACCTCAGGCATAAATGGGTTAATAGGACCCTAGCAGTGATAGTCTTTTACACCACAAAGTATAAAAGCTTGCTCTACTACATGATTCCAATAGGCTTGCATCCATGAGAAACTCTCCCCCTGCGAAAGAGTGTCATGAAGGATTCAGGTCTCTTGCATCCATTTATTTCTCTTCCTTGTTACCATCACCCAATATACCAATGTCATAAACTAACAGTCCCTTAATCTCTACTGAGAGAAGCATTTCTATGCTCTTAGTATAAAAATGAAAATTTATTAAACAATTTCTCTGAAAATATTCAGAAAAAAATATTACCCACAAGCTACTATAATGGTTTCTAAATGATGATTTATAGTGAATTTTAAAATAAAGTTTTCCTATACCCTAGGAAATTCTGTTTTCTCATTCAGATGATTCTTATGTGCAACTAGTTTGCATTTTTAGAAGTTTTAAATCAATAGAACTCCATTTTTCCTAATAAACTCATATATGTTATGTCAGTTAATAAATATAGGATGGAGTGCATGGCTTTGCAAAGCAGTGGAGGAAGAGACAGAAGACCCAGAGTTATTTGTTTTACCTTTTATGTGCAATTTGGAAGGCAGAGAAGTAACATGTGACCCTGAGGGATGAAAAATATAGCCCAGCTTCATGGTTTCCAAATTAACATACCAAGAAATCCAGCTGTACTTTTTTGCATCGCTTTGGATTCTATGAATTGCATTCATTTTTTTATAGTAGTCATCTTATTTTTTTTCTGGAGTTACGTCTTTCTGATTCTCACAACTGAAGAGCCACTACTAGAAGAACATCGGAAAAGTACTTATATTTTAAGAACTTTTATTACTTAACCTATCAGCATGCTTTGCTAGTTTCTGTTTTTCCCAGGTCCTTAAGGCCGAGTTCTCTGATGCCCCTAACAGCTTACTCAAACCCATCTCAGTGCGTCAGTCAGGACTCACAGAAATAGGACAAATCAGATTGGCATTCTTTTACCCTCCCCATCACATGCATTGCATTCATTCTCTCCATGTCCCTATTAACCATAGCTATTAAGAACACACACTATTATAACTAAAATCCCAGATGCAGCTGATGGCTTGCTGTGTTAGGACTGCATCTTGGCTTGTTCACAGCTTGTTTTTATCATTAGGTAATGTTTCTCAGAGCTAGTTGGCGCTGTGACTGTTTATTCATCTGAACTTGGCTGTGCTTTTGGTTTCCTCGTCTCATTTTTGGCCAACAGGCCCTACTCCTCAGCAAAGAGCAGAGACCGGTGTCTCACAACACCACAGATGTGAAATGACTGAAAAACAACACCCTGAGTTGCTGCCACGAGGAATGATATTTAAGTCAAGACACTCCCCAATGAGGGAAGAGACTTTCAGCTGGTATTCTAAATAAAAAGGTATTCTGCCTCTGTAGTGTGAATTTAAAATAACCATCCTAACACCGCAGTTATTACAAAGTGATGGACAAAGCAAGGGAGAACATTATAACAATTATTACTCAGGTAGTAGAGAGAGACATAGAACTGAAGCACCATTCCCACCATCGATAAAGCCACTCTTTTGCTGAGTTTATAAAAGGAAAGAAAGCCAAAGCTTCCATAGAAATTAAATGAAGACGACTCAGACCTGAAAGACTATCTTTAAAAAAAAAAAATAAAAAAGAACATAAAATTTTGAGTCTACAAATAAGGCTCTGAAGTTAGAAACTAGTATTCTTGGAGCATGTTGGAAAATTACTTGAAAGGTCTGAATAAGAAATTCTACACTAATACTGCACGATATCACTTGCGCAGTGACATTGTGTAGAATCTAAAATAGACAAATTCACAGAAGCACAGAGAGGAATGGTGGTTGCCAGAGTTTGGGGTGAGGGGTGGATAATGGGAAGATGTTGGTCAAAGGGTACAAAGTTTCAGTTATCCAGATGAATAAGTTTTGGAGATAAAATGCACAGCATGGTGACTAAAGTTAACAATACAGTGTTATGCACTTGAAAGTTGCTAGGAGAGTACATTGTAAGTGTTCGCACACCTCTACACACACACACACCCCTCCCCATCACACACATAAGTAACTAAATGAGGTGATGGAATTGTTAATTAGCTTGATTATATTGATCATTTCACCGAGAATACATATATACATATATCAAACATCAAGTTGTGCATTTTAAATCTATAATTTCCATTAGTCAATTATACCCCAATACAACTGAAAAAAAAGGAAAAAAGGAAATCTAGAAAAAAAAACAGTTATTTTGATCTCCCTGGAATTAGCTCTTCTTGAAGAGGAAATAGAAACTGACTGGTAGCCCCTTCTTTACCCTTTGTGGCTCTTAAAGTATAATTATGTAAAATGTATAATTATAGGATAGGTTTCATTTAATCCCACAAAAAGCCTTTGTTATTTGCAGTTAAGTCCTGCGTAAAAACAAAACAAACAAGAACCAAAAGACAACAACAAATAAAGACATGGCTAGTCTTGCTACAGCTAAGAACCTAGAAAGGGCGCCTCATCTCTGTCCTTACATTACAATTTTAGTAGTCAGGCTAGAAAAAGTAAATCTGGAAGTAGATCCAGTCCATAAAAGTGCTTGATTTTGTCTGAGATCTTCACTTGACCTACAAATTATCTATCTATCTATCCATCATCTATCTATCTATCTATCTATCTATCTATCTATGTATTTTGCCCAAGCCACATAAAAGACAAGAAGCAAATTATGCTCAGAAAGAGACCAATCTGGTGATAATTTCTAACCCCATGGATATATCAAGGCAATCTAATAGTCAAAATTGTGGAAATACATGAGCACTAATTTTTTATTTCTGAAAGATCCCTAAATGGAATTAATTTGACTGCTGCAAATGGAACGCTCTAAGAATCCATGGAGTGACTATTGTGCAAGAGCCCCTGAGGACTGGCTGCTGTGAACTTTGACACAGTTCTAATTTGGTTTCCTTTCAAAGGAGGTATTCCAATCTTTTCTTTGAATAATTGAGCAAAGCAATTATGCCGTCTCTAGGAAAGCATTAATGTGCCCATGGAGGACACTACAACATATTTCCTCATCATTTCATAATTTATTGATTTTAGAAAACAGTTAATTTCTCTTTAATTGACCCATATTCTGCAGTACATGAAAACAGCCCAGTTAACCACTTCTTAAGTACACATTTAAAGAAGCAGTTTGCCATACCTAGTTGTACATCAGTGATTTTACCATTTTTCTTACTTATTCTGATGCATTATTGTAAACATTGCCAGTTTATAGTTTAAATATTGGTTTAAACTCTACTATTTATTTCCACTAGTTCATAGTTCATAATGTATTTGGGATTATTTATAACAAGATTGCCCAATTGCTAATTGAGAGTGTGAAAGCTTCATCCTTATCTCAGAAGGTTGTAAAATGTCAGTGATAAATAAATTGGAAAAGGGGAATATCCATCAAATGAGCAGAGTTTGAGAGCTTGATATTCTAAACAGTGAATGCAAATAATAAAGGTAAATCTTAGGAAAAACAACACCAATATTCAAAGCCAAAATAAAATAAGGCATTAACACTTGAAATCATGAGTAAAAACCCAGGGTAGACGAAATTTTAAAATTTTTGGAGTAGAAAGGCTGCTGGTTAGTGTCAAGAGTCAAGTGGGACATTTTTCTTTGCCCATCCACCATAACAACTTTATTCCATTCATTCCATCTTGATAGCTTTCTTACAGCTCTTTTTTTTTTAATGTACTTTTTTCTTACTTTACTATTTTTAGACGTACTAAAAATATTGACAAAGGAGAGAAAAAAATCATCAATAATTCAATTTTTTTCAGATAAAATTTCTGGAAACATTTTAGCAGATACACTTCTAGTAGTATTTTGTTCATTTTATATCTCTTCTTACTGTTGTGATACACAAGTAATATACAATAATCACAAAAAATAGAAGATAGAAATAATAAAAATCAAAGCTAATGAAACAGTCTCTAAGCCCCAAATCAGTGTTAGCATACTAGTGCATATTTTTCCATAACAAAATGATCGGTGAATGAGAATGAACACTCAAGTTATTTGAACCTCAGTGAGCAGTGTGAGAAAGATAGACTGATCTTTATGTTGACCAATTTAGGTTGCACCATTGTTGTCCCATATAAGGAATATATGACTGCAGCAATCTCGTGGGATTTTGATCAAGTCTAAAATATTAGGCTGCAGCTCTGCAGAAGAATAGCCTTTACCTTTCAATGGAACGGATGGTTTTATTGTCAACTATCCTGAGATAATTTTGGCACTACCCATACTTCCCCAAAGTGAGTGAGGGAGAGGACTCAGGAGAGAGAAGTTAGATTTTAAATAGATAAATTTTTCTTCTCGCTGAAGGAATTTATGAATATCAGATATGTATTGCTTTAGAAGTCTCTAATATAAGGATTATAAAAAGCATTAACAATTTTAATTTATATCTTTAAACTACTCAAAATATTTTATGCAAAATCTAGACCTAAGAAAGAATTGTTAAAAATAGCTTATTTGACACTCTCTTTCTTTCTCTCCCTGCACTGCCCAAGGTGTCAGTCATATTATGATCATTACATTGTAAGATCCATAATACTCATACTATGTTTTGTAGCCATAATTCTTGGAGATAAAGATGAAAATACAAAGAAATAACTACTAAGAAAAGGGATATCTAAATCTATATATAGAAATATATATATATATACACATACACACATATGTAGTTATTAATAAGAAAATAGTATGCAAATACACACTAAAAACTGTTTTTAATTTACTAAAATATCTTATGTTTTATAAAATACATGTTTATTTGGATTGAAATATGATAGCAAATGATATGATTAAAATGTAATTACGTTAAAGATGTATTTACCAAATAAAAAATACAAAGAAGATTCAGTTTCATTGATTTTTTCAAAATTTCAGAATATTGATAATTTCCAAATCATACTAATATTTCAGAGCATTTAAAGCATGGTACACTTCACAATTGATTTTGTGAATCTAGTAAAATGACTCTAATACAGTTTTTCTGATAAAGAATTCTGTTAAGATGCTATAGACTGAATGTTTGTGTCATCCCAAAATTCATATGGTGAAATCCTAATCCCCAATGTAATGATATTAAGAAGTAGAGGCCTTTGAAGGCAATTAGGTCATAAGGGTGGAGCCCTGATGACGAGATTAATGCCCTTATAAAAGAGAAAGGGACATGAGTCTTTCTATCTCTGCCTCATGAGAATGCAATGAGAAAAGATAGTTGTCTGTAAACAGGAAGAGTGCTCACACCTGCCGCAGAATCTACCAGTGCCGTAATCTTGGACTTCCCAGCGTCCAGAAAAGTGAAGAATAAATGATTGCTGCTTAAGCCACCCTGTATATGGTAATTTGTTACAGCAGCCCAAATTGACTAATATATAGATTTTTTAAAAGTTTACCAGCAGATGCATGAATGCAAGCACATAAAATATAAAACATGCAAATTAAATAACATAACAAAATATTAATCTGCAAAATGAAGTAAAGTATATTCCTATGCTTTGTTGTTTTAATAATAGGGACTATTTTCATGTACTTTATATCACATTAGTAGTAGAAAACCAACAACTCAATAGATGTAGAAAAATTTTAGTGAATGCAATTTGACATTATTCTTAATCAAAACCAACTAATAATCTAAAAGTATTTTTTAATTGTAATAATGAAATATTTTCAAAATGCATCAAAGAAGTACTCACAATTTGTAAAATGCTCCTGGCATACAACAGGGCCCTAAAAAAGACCAAGTGCTATAAAACACATTTTATATATTTAGCATCATAGAATTTAGGAGATTATTTTATTTAGGAGCTTGCAATAGGAAAACATTCATTAAGAAGGAATGCCTCAAATAAAGGAAAGAGACCTGAGATTAAATAGACACAGGTAGACCAATGAGTCATGTGTAAGACTTATGGGATTTGCAACAAAGGTTAGAGATGGTTCTTTTATCTGAGACATTCTGGAAAGGTGGAGGCAGATCTTATCTTAGAATACATAAGAACAGCGTGGTCCTTGTGATGACAGTTTCCTAGAACACAAAAGAGTGGAGAAATTTCTTAATCATTGATATTTTCTGGAAGCACAGGGCTCAGATGAAGTTCAACATTGTCAATGTCTTACCTGGAACATTACATGACTATGCGACTAAAGTTATCTACCATGAGCTTGGCATTATAAGATCCATCAGATCGTGTAACCAGATAGCCACAGTGACCACTGAAAATGCAAATGGTATATTTTGAATTGGGTCTAATAAGCTCCAAACTTACAAGTAAGTTGTATATATGGGTGGCTCAAATTCTCATGTTACCTAGTTCTATTGTATCTATGCTTCTTCCTCAAGTCAAATTGTGATCTTATGAAGACATTCATATGATCAACTTGCAAAGAAGGAAAAAAAATCAGGACTGGTTAAAATATAAGTGTACTATATTGTTCTAATTATTGACTAATACATATAATTTTTTAAAAATTTATTGGCAGATGCATGAATGCAAGCACATAGATACATTTATCTGTCTAAATAATACACTTTAATATATTAAATTATGTTATTTATATATTATATAATACTATATATTCTATATTCTATTATATATTATTTCTGTCATTACAGATCTCCTCAGTGCTTGTCTTAATGACAATTGTAAGGGAAGAGCCTTCCAGTAGCAAGACTTGATTATCACATGGAGAAAAGTGGCTTGAAGTATGAGTATATACAGGCTCCTCAGCAGGAGGGAGTGGCTTTTGCTGATTGATCAAGGTTCTAGAAGGTATAATATTTGAAAACCAGGGACAAGAAGCTCTCAAGAAAATGTATATGGACACATCTATGAGAAAAGCCAGAGAGCAGGTGACTATTAATGAGTCTATAACATGGAAGAAATTCTAAAAATATTTTAGATTACTAGAATGACTCATCTTATGGATGTAAGTCTATTTCTGCTCAGTCATCTATTTCTGTTCAGTGCTGATTCAGTGAACAGAGCAACCCTGGAAACAAAGGCAGAAAACGTATATGAATCCACCATGATTAGTTCTCTTTAAACTCAGATCCCTGATGAGTTAATCACACCTCCGAATGACCAACTTTGTGCCCTAGAGACTAATGCTGAACAATTTATATAGCATCATTCCTAAATACACAATCATTTCTTTGGTGGCAATTAAATCATATTGGACCATTTCTTAGAGGGAACAGGTGATATTTGAATTACCTCTTACCATGGATATGGGCTTGTTTTTCCTGTCCACAGTGCAACTGCTAGCATTACTAACAGCACAAATAATCATGAATTTACATCATAGCTGGTCTATTAAAATGATATTCCACACAATATTCCTGCAAAGGATTATGCACATTTATAAAAAATGAGGAGCCATAATGGGTGTACAGCCATGGGATACACCAATCTTATCATACAACCTATTAATCAGAAGTAGTTGACCAATGGTATGGTTTGTTAAAGGCTCAGACAGTGCATCAGATTAGGGATTATACTCTCCAGATTAGAGCACTGCTTTTCAGGATGCAGTATATGCATTGGACTATCAGCTGATATATGGTATTTTGTGCTCTATAGATTGAATGTGTGGACCAAGAGGTGGAAGTAGGATTGGCTCTATTACTTTTACTTCTGGTGAACCAAATATACAATTTGTTTTCAATTACCTTTCAATTACCTAATTTCAATTACCTTAGGCTCTGCTTGTTTACAAGTGGTGGTTTTCAGCAGAAATAACTCAGCTAAAATACATAGTAAGGGCTCCACTGAACTTGAAGTTGTAACTGCTCCCTGGTCTTTTGGGACTCTTCATGTTACTGGTACTAACTGTACTAGCAGGCAGAGGAAGTAGTTACTTCTAGCCATCATCAGGAAATAAGTTTACTTCTATGAAATGGGAGTAGGGAAGGTTATGCCTAGAATACAAGAAATTCATTGGGAAATGGCTTGGTCTTTCTGTGCCCAGTGATTAAAGTAAATAGCCCAAGAGGCCAGCAAATTAAGGATTCAAATCCTTGGGAGTAGCCTTCTAGTTCTAGTAGAACAGTAGTTCTAGAGGCAAACAAGCAATTCAGGCCAGCTGTGGTGCTGGTCTAAGACGAGGGAAATATAGAGTCATAATACAGAAGGAAAATGAATATCAATTACAATATTTGGACCAGCTGCAGCAACAGAAATTATTTTGTTTTACCTTACCTCTCTGTCCAGCTGTCATTATGGTGACAACACACATGTTCTCTCTGCTCAATGCCTTTTCTTCTTGATGTTCATTCCCACACACCATTCAAGTCTGCTCAAATGTTACCCTCTTAATGGTGTCTTCCTGATTGTTTTAAATTACATTTTTTCCTACTCTTCAGTTCTTCTGTCCCCTCTTTTCCTGCTGTACATCATACTTAGCAATTTTAAATAAAATTACTTGCATATTTATAAATTTGTGCATTAATTACTTATATATATATTTGTTGTTTATCTTTCTCCTCATATGTAAAATTCACACGGTCAGGAATTTCTGAGTTTTTTTTCACTATCGTATCCCTATCACCCATAAGAGTTCCTGGCTCATAGCAAATATTTAATAAGTATTTATAAAACAGATGAATTAATTTACTTTATATTTTGGATGATGACTCCTAAATCTACATCTTCAACCTACGCTTCCAAATTTGTCTCTTACTCCATGCTTTCAGGTTACATAGAGGCCAGAGGTAACATTGTGTATAAGCAGAGGTGGCAGGAAGTCTTATGGCATAATTTTAGTGCAGAATTGAAGACTCTTTTTTCTCATATGCCAAAGAATACCCCCCTTAGCGTGATTACTAATATTTCACATTTTTTTTACAGGGAGTAATGATAAGGTTAAAATATATATAGTATTGGAAGAAGTAAGTATTTATACAAATCTATTCCCTCTGTATTGAAAGGGTTTATATTAAGTAAAATTAAAGATGGGAAACCTAGGGACCCTAAGTAGCAGAGACTGCAGTAAAATTGTAAGAAAGAGTATTTTTAAGTGAGGGTTAGATACTAAAAAGCAAATCCTACCTTTAAGTTGTTTAGCAAGCCACTGTGGTTTTCTCAAGCTTACCACTCTTGCCCTAAAGTTTTATTACTTTATATTTATACCACTACATCTTTCTATCAACTTAATTCCTTCATACACCTTCTCAGTTTCAGTCAGTGGACTATCATTTTTTTATCCTTCTGAGCCAGGAAATTTTTCAGATCTTCTCTCTTCTTTGTTCACCATATACAAGTCAGTCATCTAGTTTTGTCAACTCTTACGTCAGGATCTTTAACAGTGAAATCAAGACTCCATAAAGTGTAGACTACACCTGCCCTGCCATTTACTGTGTGGAGATTATGTTAAAAAATGAATTATCCTTTGCTTGACTCTAACCCCTGTGTTTCTTGCCATTGCACTTATATAGCCTCCTCCACAAAATGTCCATAAAATTTGTATCTATCATTTAATATTCATCTCAAATGCCATCTCCCTCCTTGGGAAACATCAAAGTGATGACATTTCTTCCTACCTTAAACTTCTTCCCTAGGTCTCTCTATTGGCGTTTTATCTCTTGACTCCCTTGACTTACATCATTTTCTTTTAATGTTATCTCTGCACTTACTTTCCCATCATTACACGAAGAGTGTCTAAATCGCCGAGACTGCTCTTTAAATCCCCAACAATCCTCACAAGCATCTATTAAACAAGAATGAATAATGTCACTCCAGGTATAATTTATCCTCCACTTTTTTCCTCAATGTATCTCTGGATCTCATTGATGCTGCCTCTAGGATAAATTTTTATACCTCTCATCATGTCCTCCGATTCACTGGCTCTCACTAATTTGCTTCAGTTAACTAGTTCAATCTTATTTTCTATTGAAGTATTTCCCCAATTACTTCAATATTCAAATAGTTAAGTTTCTTAGACAATTGTAGAGAGAGAATTATGTATGGACAGAACTTAGGACCAGAGACAAAAACGGAAAGTGAAAATAAAGGTGTTCTCTCCACCTCTCAGAGTCTTTATAGTCTTGTCTCTATTTTTATCCTTTTCTCTCTTGATTGTCATACTCTTGTGTTCCAGCTGAGTATCCAACAAACATCTATGTATTCTTCAAACTCCATGCATGCACTTCAATTTTTATGTTAATTCTATTTATTATTTCTAAAGGAAATTTAATTAGCTTAGCCCAGGACAAGGGGTTTCTTTCCAGGGACCAGAGAGGCCCTTGGTACAATCAGCTGAGACCAGAGTGAAGAGGTGAGGGTGCAAATACACTTCAAAACAGGATTGTGGACAAGGAAGGCAAGACAAAACACTAAATATTTCATTTTTATTTTATTTTTCTAGAAAGCTAAATGTAACTAGGAAATAATAATTTATGCAGAACAAGTCAGGATAAAAATATGGCTTTCATTAGATTTTTAAAAATAACTGGAGACCTCATTATGATTTTATTACCATCATTTAACTAGAACCCCAGTCACAGAATCATTGATTTTAATGCTCATTTGGATACTTTATCAGTGTGTTTCCTTGACAAGAAGACATCAGAATAAAATTACTCATGCAAGAGATTTACTGGATGAAATGCCTATAAAGAATAAAGGAGGAAGGAGCAGAAGTGAGAGGGGGCTTCAGATTCCAATGCAGGCTGAAGACCTGACATAGATGGAATGTATCCTCCCCAGTTCAGGCATTGAAAACAACCCTTAATGCAACAGTCTCAGGAGGCAGAACCTAATATAACATGTTTAGGTCAGGAGGGCTCTACCATCATGAATGGATTAATGCTGTTATGGCAGGAGTGGGTTTGTTATAAAAGTAAGCTTGGCTCTCTCATGCCTTCTCTCTCCTGTTCTCTGTCACGCTGTTGCCTTCCACTACAGGATCATGTGACAAGGCGGTCCTCATCAGATGTGGTCACTGAATTTTGAACTTTTCAGCCTCCAGAACCATAAGCCAAATAAACTTCTGTTGTTTGTAATAACCCAGTCTGTGGTATTCTGTTATAGCAGCTTAAAACCAACTAAGATGGCACCTGTGAAAGGAAAGAAGAAGAAAGGAGGATTGGGGAAGAGCCTCTGTCTGTAGTGATGCTCTGAGAAAGCTGTGACATGCCTGATGGGAAGCCCCAGATCAAAACTTGCCTATTAGATGAGTGACACATTAGGCAAGAGTGGAATGCCTGGTGTACCCCCGCCGTGCAGTGATTAGGTGGAAGAAGCCTGAGGAGAGAAAAGTCTCAGTGTGAATGGCGCATCTAACTATACTCCTTTCAGCAGGTTTTCTCATGAAAGATCAGAGCAGTGCATTCCCATGGCTTCCTGAGCCACTGACTTGTCCTGTTCTCTGTGATATCTTCTTCCCAACAAAATGTAAGCACCACAAAATAAAGTAACATGCATCTTTCTACTGACTATGCCTAACCCAATGTGAGGACAGCAAGCTTGTGACTGTACTTGCTAAAAGGTTACATTTAAGAGATGGTTTGATAGGATAGAGTGTGTTTTGCTAACTTTGAAAGAAATTTAATTATTTTTTAAAATTAATAGATCCCAGCAGTTTTAGATTCACTGAAATATTTGATACACATGAGTAATGAAAACATTCAGTATGCCATACGTTCGTTTTAACAACCTGTTATTGTAGGTTAATTATACCTCATAGTTTTACTTTTCATAGTATCCTTTATCATTTTCTTCTTCACATGCAAGCTGTGATATTGAACTGTAGTGTCTCATTTTAGATTTACAGGTGACAATATTTAATCAGATAAAATGAGGAAAGCTAAAGACTTCTTCAGGTTCAGTAAATATGTAAATGGAAAAATTGAAATTAGAATTGACAACTGATGTACCTTTTAATTTTTTCCTCTCATTGATTTACATGGTCTTTGTTTTTCTGACTTTCTATTTTGAAACAAAACTGTCTGAATCTCTGTATAGGAAATATTTAAAGATCAAAAACTCCAAGGATTGAACACTCAGCGAATGTCTATTGGTCATCTTTAAGGAATTGGGTTGTCCTGGTTAGGATAAGTTGGCAGGTCAGGATCCCTTGAAAAATAAAGGAGCTGCAGAACTGCCTTAGAAAGAATTATAATTTACTTATTTGTTTCCAAACACTCTGCTAAGCAATTTATAAACATTATTGCATCCTGAAATTGCCTTATTCATATTTTATAGATGAAGGCACTGAGCTATACAAAAATTAATTCCTCAATGGTACAGAGCTAGCAAATGGCAGAAGTAAGGTTAGAACCCAACTCTATATGACTCTAAAAATGTATGCTTATTTACCACAACATCATGCTGCCTTCTTCATCTGAGATAGTTTTTTAATTGAACAATCTTGTATTTCAAAGGAATCCTTGAAGAGATGAAATGTATCAAGTTTGACTGCAAAGATTGAAGATACAGTAGAATTAAGATGTGCTAGCATTATTTCAAGCATTATGCCATCTCTAAAGGAGTAAACAAAATAAAAAGAAAATCCATGTGTATATAGTGTTTAATACATGCCAGGCTAGGTTTTATCTATTGACATACATATTTATAGTTCTCACGGTAACCTTATTAGCCTATTTGATATCTAATTTCTTCTATGCTAATCACTTCTCTGATTTTTGGTTAGCATCCCCTTATTTGGGGACCTGTTTCTCTCCTTACTTCACTCAGTACACTCCAGTGGCTACTGTCAATTATGTTATTTCATCTTCCTGGATTTATATGTAGACAATAAAAGTTGGACATTTTAATCAAAGCTCTTCCCTGGAATGTTTTCAATTAGATCTAAGATACATAAGTTCTTTCCTTTCTGGTGGAAAAGCTATAATGATAAAAAAAAAATTATCTAAGAGAAAATAGGTGAAGGGAAGGGAAGTGAAGAGAGAAATTCTGGTGGTACTGGAGTCTCTCTTTCTGGGCATCCCTGAACTCCATTCCTATCCTTGGTTCAGTTTGATTACAACAGTCAATACATTATCCTAATTGCCTAAGATTTTTTTTTATTGGGTTTCAAACTCTAAAAGACTCCTGACTATTTTGACCAAGCAATAAGGAATTCAGATCCTTAGTCTAACGTCTCACTACAGTGAGTGATAAAACGGACTGGAATCCAGGCCTATCTTTGTCTCAATATAGGCTCTCTCTTTTTTTTTTTCTTTTTATTCTTATTCCATAATGGAATGTATATGTGGGATGGTTATGGAGGGGAATTGCCAGAAAATGTGGATGCAAGTAGGGGTGGTTACAACCTTTCTTTTTTTTCAGCTAGACTTATAAGAGCAAATTAAGCGTTAATCTAATTTATCCAAACATCCATTAGACAGATAATACTTTAATTCAGGTTTTAACTAAATAAAATAGGCACAATCAGGTGAAATCCTATATATAGGTGACCTAACTCGCTTTTCATCTAAAAAAATATAGCCTTCACACATTTCCTCCAAAATATCTTTGCATACCTGCAATTTCTTTTCACACATATCTGAGCAACTATTTTCTTGATGTTCTGCTTGCTTCAAAACACAGCTATAAAAAATTTTCCCAGAGAAGGTTATAAATGCAACTCTAAGCCTAAGATCACTGGAGTCAGTTCAAGGAATGAAAGCAGAAACGCCGAAACAGGAGAGGACACATAGTAATGCACTGGGTTTTTGCACACACTTCACCTGCTTTTCTCCCAATGTTCAGGATCCTAAATCAAACCAAAATTGTGATAAAGAAATGTAAAAACATTATTAGTTAATTGAGTTCGACCAGAGTGGATTAATTACAATAAAGAGATGACAATTAATTACAATAAAAAAAAAGTTTTTTTTAAAGACTAATGAGATTAGGCCAGGTGCGGTGGCTCACACCTGTAATCCCAGCACTTTGGGAGGCCAAGGTGGGTGGGTCACCTGAGGTCAGGAGTTCGAGACCAGCCTGACCAACATGGAGAAACCCCATCTCTACTAAAAATACAAAATTAGCTGGGCATGGTGGCACACGCCTGTAATCCCAGCTACTTGGGAAGCTGAGGTGGGAGAATCGCTTGAACCTGGGACGCAGAGGTTGTGGTGAGCTGAAATCGCACCATTGCACTCCAGCCTAGGCAACAAGAGTGAAACTCCATCTCAAAAAAAAAAGACGAATGAGATTTTGGAAGTTGTTTTTTAAATTTTTTAATTTTTAATTGTTAAAGATATTTGTACATATTTATAGAGTACAGGTGATATTTTGATTCAAGCATACAATGTGTAATAATAAAATCAGGGTAATTCAGGTGTCCATTACCTCAAGCATTTATCATTTCTTTGTTTTAGGAACATTCCAATTCCATTCTTTTAGTTATTTTGAAATATAAAATAAATTATTGCTAATTATAGTAGCCCTATTGTGCTACTAAACACTAGATCTCATTTCTTCTATCTAACTGTATTTTTGTACCCATTAACTATCTCTTTTTGGGGGGGCTTTTCTTTCTGGTTTTATCTCCCTTCAAAATGTGAAGAAACACTTGGAATGT
This sequence comes from Homo sapiens, assembly GCF_000001405.40. Classification (NCBI taxonomy): domain Eukaryota; kingdom Metazoa; phylum Chordata; class Mammalia; order Primates; family Hominidae; genus Homo; species Homo sapiens. The sequence goes on along the minus strand of NC_000003.12, from coordinate 110,167,494 downwards.
TATTCACCTTTAAAGCAGCCATTATACAGTATTTACTGTTTATAAAATTTTATGCATAATAGAAATGCAAATAGTTATCTATATGTCTATAACTGTATTTATATAGGTATAACTATACATGATCCAATCTTAACCTACCTCAAATATAAGAAAGTCTTATAAACAGTTTCAAGCCATATAATTTAAATTATTTGTTGAAGCAAATTCTAACTACTCACCTCTACTATATTAAGAGTTTATGTCTTCGTAAATGGTTATGTAGAAGAAATTAGTCAACACATGTAGTTTGGACTATTCACTAATTTGTTGATCACAAGTCTGACTCCACCCTGCTTTTGCTGCCATTCATATCTCTCACCTATTACACCTTCCAACACTTCATTTTCTTCTCAGCAGCCAGAGGGAATCATTTATAAATATTCATATGTATGATTTCGTAGTGCACACATAATTGAAATTCTTCAGTTACTTCCTGTTGCCATAAAGATGAAGTCTAATGGCCTTAAAAAAGGTTGACAAGTTCCTGAATACTCTGGCCCCTTTCTCTCAGCCTTCTTAAGAACTTTAATAAAACTATGTTCAGCAAGAATACTGTCTGCTTAAATGTGTTTCTCAATTCCAGAAGGAAATGAGAAATACCTTTAAGAAGAAACTCATGAAGGAAGAAATTTGATTTACCTTGATGTTGTATTTACTTAAAATGTTTCATGTCTTTTATATATTAGAAGATAAATATTTATGCAGATATTAGCAAAGTGACATCTTTTCTACTTTAAAATGTAAAAGTGACTTATTTGCTTGTATTCTCATACTTATGAGTTATTCAAACCTGGGATTCAGCTTACTGCATCCTAACTCAAGGAATCTACTTTTATTTAAGGCTGATGCTATAACTAAATGTATCAACCACTGTAAGAAACACAAGTCATTTAAAGCACTGGTTTTGAGACTTCATGCTGTCATTTTCAACAGAACTTTAAAACAATAGTAGCGGCATTTCATCAACCATGTAATAAACCAACAAATAAAATTTAATTTGCCGTTACCATTGTTCTTTAGAAGAAGGTTCAAATTTCAAACATTGGTAACAAATCTCAGAACAAAAGTCATTTATTTGAAGTGAGTAAAATTTCACATTATGGAAAAACTCACTATGATAAACTTTCTCTAACCCTCTCATTTGACCATTGAATAAAAAAAAAAATTAGGGAGGATTTTAGATGTTTTCACCTGAATGATTTTTAAACTCTATTTGAGAATGATTTCTCTGTGGACCTTTGTGGACCTTGCAAATCCATTCTATTCAGTATTAGTAAGTACTGTGAAAGGACAATAAATCTTGGGGCCCCCCATCACTAAGCTAAAGGAAAAAGTCAAGCTGGGAACTGCTTAGGGCCAACCTGCCTCCCATTCTATTCAAAGTCTCCTCTCTGCTCACCAAGATAAATGCACATCTGATTGCCTCCTTTGAAAAGGCTAATCAGAAACTGAAAAGAATGCAACGATTTGTCACCTATCTACCTATGACCTGGAAGCTCCCTCCCTGCTTTGAATCTTCCCGCCTTTGCTTCCAGTTGTCCCTCCTCTCCAGACCAAACCAATGTTCGTCTTGGGTGTGTTGATTGATGTCTCATGTCTCCCTAAAATGTATAAAACCAAACTGTTCTCTGACCACCTTAGGCACATGTCGTCAGGACCTCCTGAGACTGTGTCATGGGCGCGCGTTCTCAATCTTGGCGCAAAAAAAAAAAAAAAAACTTCCTAAATTAACTGAGACTTGTCTCAGATATTTGGAGTTCACAGCGTCATGGCTCAAATACCCGGAAGTAATGTTACTGTTTTGTTTTTGTTTTAATTTGGTCTCTTTTGCTTCCACGTTTGTTAGCAATTCCCCTCTCTTAAAAGCTCTGTAGTCTCTAAAGACATATGAAACCCAGAGTGCCCACAGTGCTATGCAAACAAGTAGTAGTATTTACACACTCTGTGACTGTAAGAATAAATAATAAGTTGGAACCACTATTACTAACAACAAAAGAGAGAATCACACTCTACATTCTAGTTCTGTGTACCTTTTAATATTCACAAATGACACAAACAGATGATACAGCTTAAATATGTATTTAACTTGAGAGCAAATACAAGGTTTCTGCACCAAAGATCAGTCCCATTATTTTTTAAAACAATAATGACACAAGTTTCCCATGCCCCCTTCTCTTCCTCAAGGTGACGTGATGAGGGAAGATGAACTCTGTACATATAGAGAGAGTCTCTAGGAGAAGAGAGGATCACTAAGATTATACATTTCGCAGCTTATATAGAAACAGCTGCACAGCAGCCCCTCTTTCTCTCCAGAGAGAAGAAATTCTGTTTCTAACAAACATATCCTCTCCGAGGGAGGCGAGAAAAATCCCTAGATGTTTGCAACCCTTTGGAATGTAAATAAATGGCTCCAGGGGAGATGGGTCGTAGGCCTGTTTACCATTCAAACATCTCTTAATCCTGATTCCCAGTAATTTTTGCTTAGAAAGCCCTGATTGTACAGAATATGAGATATTAGTTGTTTCTCAACAACAGATACATGATAGTCTTAGTTTACTTTCCCTGTATATTATACTTAGGTCATTTCTGAATCCCCCTGGGTTATTTTTCTATAAACAGTAACACTGTTCAGAGTCAGGCTCTCTCTACTGAGCTTCTATGCTCCTCTAAGTTAATGGAGCTGTTTCAAAGTAATAGTATTAGTATTCTACTCATTTACAAGATGCAGTTAACTTCTGACCAATGTTAGAACACCAAAATCTCAACAACAATAAAAACAACAAAACAGTTTTGTTTTGTTTTTTTAAAAAGAACGCCCAACTCTCTCTGACTCTGGCAAAATTAGAGCTTAGAACAGTTTTGCTTTTAAATTGTTCAACCTTCTTTAGACATCTCTGCAGCTAACTACCTAATTGAGCATGGAGCAATATTTTCTTAACCTACTTATTAACAAGAAACTTTTAAAAGATACCATCTGCTAGAGGTATTTCTTTTAAAAATACTCATATATAATACTAGTGAGATCGTTATAAGAGAGCCACTCTCACAGGTTGTTGATATAGTATATAAAATAATGATGGGAAATGGTTTCTGCTTGTGTGATTGTTGGCCTTTTCAATTTGTTTTTGATTTTTCATTGACAAAACTTTTTTTTTTACAGCCCAGCCAATACACACCTTTCCTTTTTGATTTCCTCAATTAATTATTTTGTTTAAAAATTATTTTCTATTGCACCAGTGTTTATAGAACATAAATTAAACTTAAAAACAGCTACGATAACATATATGGCGTATCCCTATTATCATTCTTTCTTAGAGTTTGTCTGGCTAATCTTGTTTATTTGTATATACTTTGCCAGGCTCACATAATGATTTCAAAAGTGTTTTGACTAGAATTTAAAGAAAACTTGGAATAAGGAATGTCACATAACTGCAATGTTTTGAGTCAAGAGATGTAGGGAACTTTTAAACTTTGCTAAAAGAAATATGCTATTTGACAGAGGGGAAAAAAGCTTAAAAGAAAAGTTTGTTTACTCTTCCCACGCCAATTATATGTTACTGTCATTCTGTGCTATCTCATTTTTTAGTTCAGGTAACACTGATTTGTTCAATTGCAGATACTTAGCATGCAGTTGTACATGCTAAACTTAGGAAAGATGATGGCAATGCTGAATGTGTAGATCTGAGAGTCATCAGAAATGATCATTGAAGCAGATAACTTCCTCAAGAGACAATAACTAAACAGTCTAGACAAAGAAGAGCAAAAAGCTGAAGTTTTGATCTTAAGGCACCCTTAAATTTAGAAAGCTAGGGAAGGACTCAAGCTCAAGGAATTTAGGTTGGACGTGAGGAGATGAGCCCAAAGCAGAAGAAGTGGGAGGAAAGAGTTACAAAAATAGATAAAAGATTGGAGAGTATTTAAATTTAGAAAGCTAGAGAAGGACTCAGAGAAAAACAGGGTAGTAAGCTCACTAGGCCGAAATGTTGCAAAGTGATTAAGGAAACATAGAGCTCCACGGGAGCTAACAGTTTCTAAATGAAAGGACATGATAGATATAATTATGTCATTTCAAGTATTTGATCTTAATTATTTTACAACACTATCCTGTAAAAACTGATATGAAATTTGCATCTTATGCATATCTCCTACTTAAATCCCTCTCTTATCTTTTTAGAATAATACAACATATAATTAGTAGCATATTAGCAGTTAAATTCTGCCATTTCAAGGATGCATAATTTTCAACTCTTTAGAAAATCTCTAGCCAAAATTCACAGGAAATGGAACATGTGGATTCCTTTTGTAATTAAAGACATTTTGTATGTATAACCAGTCTCCTAGAACAGCGGTCCCCAACCTTTTTGGCACCAGGGACTGGTTTCATGGAAGAAAATTTTTTCACTGTAAAGTGGGGGACAGGCAGGAGGGGGTACCAGGGGAATGGTTTGATGATGAAACTGTTCCACCTCAGATCACCAGGAGTTAGTAGATTCTCATAAGGAGTGTGGCAACCTAGATCCCTTGCATGCGCCATTCACAGTAGGGTTCGCGCTCCTATGAGAATCTAATGCTGCTGCTGATCTGACAGGAGGCAGAGGTCAGGCAGTAATGCCCACTCCCCTGCTGCTCACCTCCTACTGTACAGCCCAGTTCCTAACAGGCCACAAACGGGTACTGGTCTTTGGCCTGAGGATTGGGGACCCCTGTCCTAGAATAGAAAATTGTATAATTACTTTCCTCATACTAGAGGAAAAGCTAGCAAGCCTATTCTTTTTTTTTTTTTTTTTTTTTTTTTTTGAGAGAGTCTCGCTCTGTCGCCCAGGCTGGAGTGCAGTGGCGCCATCTAGGCTCACTGAAAGCTCTGCCCCCCAGGTTCACGCCATTCTCCTGCCTCAGCCTCCCAAGTAGCTGGGACTACAGGCACCCGCCACCACGCCCAGCTAATTTTTTGTCTTTTTTTTTTTCAGTAGAGAGGGGGTTTCACCATGTTAGCCAGGATGGTCTCGATATCCTGACCTCGTGATCTGCCCGCCTCGGCCTCCCAAAGCGCTGGGATTACAGGCATGAGCCACCGCGCCCGGCCAATAAGCCCGTTCTTAACTCAAAGTTAACCCTTGTGCCAGACAAGTAGTCTGTACAGAACTGTGGGCAATTTGTTGCAAAGACATCAGATCATCATCTTTGCAATAAGAGGAGGTTGCAAACAATGGAGCTATTGGACAATGCTAAATAAAACACAACAAATGGTGTTCAGGACTGGATAACTGATACTTCCTGTAGTAGAACGTTGCCAGCTTTCACTTCTCATTCAGCAACTGACACCATATCAAGCACACCTGACAATGTCAAGAACTGATATTTATGGAATTGGAGTTGTCAATGTGAATTTACTGTTGAAAAAAATCACATCAGTGTCTTTGCAGTCTTTCATTTGTTTTATTTTATTAAAGATTTTTAAAAAGCTTTTTATTATATGTCACCAAATTCTAGTTGTATATGGGGTACAAAGTGATATTATGATTTTTAATAAATGTAAAATGATTAAATCAAGCCAATTAACATATCTATTATCTCAAATATTTACCATCTTTTGTGATGAGAGCATTTGAAATATACTCTCTTAGTACTGAAATGTACAGTACTAAATTATTCTCTATTCGCCATGCTGGGCAACTGAACTAAAAAAAAAATTGAAGTTATTTCTCCTATCTAAGTGAGGTTTTTTAACATTTAAAGCAAAAGTACTTTAGGGGGCTTCAGATAAATATCTGGAAATATCATATGCTTCCCACAAAATTCTTTGTCACCTTAGTTAGGTGAATGTGATGAGTATCTTATGAAAAGGCAACCAATCATCCCCAACTCCTGAGAGTGTGCTCGTTTGTAATCCTATCCTCTTTTGTGTGAACTGAACCAAGTGATTTGCTTCTGAAGTAAAAGATATGGGATGTCACTTCTGGAATTAAGCCATAAAAAAATGTCATTTCCATCTTGTTCACAATCTCTATCTCTTTGGCATTTCTTACTCTTTTGATCTGATGAAACAAGCTTCCATGTTGTGAGCTGCCCTGTAGAGGAACCCACTAGGAAAGGAGCTGAGGGTAGCATCAGACAACAGCCAGCAAAGAATGGAGACCCTCAGTCCAGTTTCTGAGAAATTGAAACCTGGCAAAACTGCATGACTGAGCTTTGAAGTATCTATAGATTCATCCCTAATGAGAGTGCGGTTCCAGCCAAGACCTTGAATGCAGCCTTGTGAGAGAATTTAATGCAGAGGACTCTGCTAAGCCACTCCCAGTTTCCTGACCTACAGATAATTTGAAGTAATAAATGAATATTGATGTAAGCCATTAATATTTGGGCTAATACAAGAAATATGCTTACTTAGGTTATGGTCTATAGATTACTATCAATTTTTTAAAATGCAGCTCATCTCTAGAATAGTCATTCTCAACAATAAGGACAAGAACATCAACAACAAAAGACAAAAGTTATTTTAATCAATCTTCCCTGAATGATCCAAGAACTATTCTTCACAGTAATAATTCAAGGTGTAGCTAATCTCTCACTCGTCTATAAGCTATCTTTGACACAATTTTTTTCTGACTTTCCATTGTATTAACAGTATCAAAATTATAAAATGTGTTACAAGTTACTTAAATCAATGAGAAATTTCTAGATACCAAATAGCTGAATTGTCTTCATTCTATGACCTAGAGAAAGGCATTTTTTTTCCATCCATAAATTTCAACGTTTAAATATTGAGGAAGTTGAATCTCCTCGATCTTTGTTATCTAACACAGCCATCACTAGCCACTTATTACTATTTGAATTTAAATGTAAATTAACTAAAATTAAATAATTTTTTAAAATTTAGATCCTTAGTCATCCTAGACATATTTCAAGTGCTCAGTAGTCATATGTCACTAGGGGTTATCATAGTGGGCAGCACAAATATAAGACATTTATATTATACCAGAGAGTTTCATTGGGAAGTGCTATCCTAGGTAATCACTAAAAAACTAAATTATATATCTAATGATAAGTACTCCATAAGTATCTGTTACATAAGTATTTATCCATAAGGTTTGGACTGGAACCTATACATATTTTTACTACTAGTGATAAGTACTGCTCACTTGGTCACATTACTTTTTAAATAGTTCTTATTTTTCAGCTGTTGGAATGTTTTAATATTTAATAATTTCACAGTAGTTTTAGAGGTTAGCTGTTACTAATAGCAAGAGTTAATAGCTATTGCTATTTAAAGTTCTGTGCTTTGAGAAAAAATTATTTCAAATAGGCAGCATAGAATTCGTTACAATATAATTGGACTCTCAGTAGTTGTTCTATTGAGTAATCTGCTATTGTTTACACATAATTTGAAGTATAGGTCAAATTTATCCTTGACAATTAAGTACAGTTTTTCAATGTTGTGTTGTAATTGCCAGTGACTTGTAGTATACTTGTTCTTGCTTAAATAAAGTAGCACTTTTTGTTCGATGAATTTATTTCCAGTCATTCAAAAATTTTATTTTCAGTGGTTACCATGTAGCAATCCATGAGACTTAAATAGTATCACAAACAATGTAATTACATTAAGCATTTCATATGCCAGTGATATATTTGTAGACACAGAAAGACGTGGTGGTGTTAGAATTTTTAAAACATAATTTTAGTTACTTTCAAAAATTGCAAAATACAGCCTTTTTCTTTTAATTTACTGGTAAAATATCAGCCCAGCCTACCATCCCTTTCTGCATGGACTATAGCAATAACCTAGTAATAGCTTCAATTGCATCTCTGCCAAATTATGACCAAAGATTCCTTTTTAAAATGCATATATGATTGTGTCAAACCTTACATAAAACTCTGATGGCTTTCCATTGTTCTTGAAATAAAAACAAACATTTAACATAGCCAAGAATGCCCAGAATGGTTGGATCTTTACTTCTATCTTTTAGTCCATCTGATACCACCCTTGCTTTCCCTCTTTTCACCCCAGCCCAATGGCCATCTTTCAGATGTCTGTACTTGCTGTGCTTCCTCTCAATGAAGTAGGCAACTTGAAAATGTTCTCTTCCATACCCATTATGCTGTTCTCTTCCCCTCTCCACATTGTAAACTCTTATTCATCCTTCAGATCTTGCCACAAGTATTACTTTCTCAGAGAAACTCTTCCAGAACTCACTGACAAAGATAAATCTTGTTTTAGATTTTATAACATAACAAGCCTCTCCATTAGGACCATTAACACATTCTTCCTAAAGACTGTCACTAATTGAGATTTTGCATTGGATCAGGTACTTTTAAACAAACAAACAAAAGTAGGCCATACATGGACCGGTGGTGAATATATGCCTTGAAAAGGAGATTATCATTAATCTATTATTCAATTCTGGATAATAGAAGAAAAATATAGACTATATTTCTTACCTAGGTTACTTAGATTGGCATTAAATTAAGTGCACCCATGTCCCAAAGTCATAGGTGAAAATGAGTGGAGCAGGCAGAGTACGTCCTTTCCCTGAGAATGGATTTAGACTAAAAATGTTGTTAAAAAAATAAGGTCACATATTCATTTGGTTATTGCTAAAATAAAAAACATTGAAGAAAACATCACTATGAGACACTTAGAAAAGTTAAACAAAAGAAGATATGTTGTCTGTAAGATTTCCTATTCCAGCAAGCCATGGTACAGACTCCATCCTCAAAGCTCAGATCCTAAACCCAGATTCATTCAGTCATTCACTCCCTCTGAGAGATTGGATAAGTCTCTAGCATGTTCTACACCCTTTCCCAGATGTGCTTGTGCTCACTTTTCTCTAGAGTCAGTTCAAACTACAATGCATTAGGTCTAAGCCAATATAATTATATTATAAATTTTAATCAATTTAAATCATTTTCACTAAAATGTATCATTCTATAACATAATTAGCATAAATCCTACATTTGTCACACAGCTTTACTCAAATTGAGCTTTACTCAAGTTTCTTAATTTTCACTAATGTATTCTCTTTATTAACATAGGGCACTATTTAGATTGCATTTTTACTGTGCATGGTTCCATAGAAATTTGGAAAAGAAAATTTGGTGTGAAATGATGGAGACTTTAAACAATTTAAAGTATTAATGAACAAAATCTAGCTTCCAAACCAGTATTTGATATAATTTTGGATATTACATTTATTTAAATGCTGAAACAAATATGTAACTTTTTCCTCATATAAAGAACTAAATCAAGATTATTAAATTACTCAGTATAAATTGTCCATAACTCAATCTTTGAGGACAGTCTTCACAATATAGCTAATGTGGTTTTCTTGGAAGTATTTATGCTTAAATCACCACACATTTTACTTGATGGTTTGTGGAAAACATCCATGTACACAGATAATGATTGAAAATAACCTGCAGTTTACTTGTTTCTATTTTGAAAGAGAGGACTGCACATAATGTTACTGAATTGAGAAGACTGATTTTAGTAAATAAGTATCATTGTGTTGGCTTTATCACTCTGTCAACTGTGAACTCTTTTCATCTACCATCTTACAGATACGTAACATTTATTCAACAATTACTGTTTTCCAGACACTATGCCAAGCACTTTACATTATTTATCTCACATAAGTCTTAGACGCCCTCTGTTAAGTTGGTATTATTACCATGCAAAATTTATGAACACAGAAATAAAGATTTATCATGTTTAAGTAACTTGCCCAAGCTTATAGCAATTATAAGCCACCAATAGACTCAAACCAAAGTCTGTTTCATGGCAGTCTGAGCTCTTAACCATTACACTCTGTGGCATATTTTGAAAGCAACACTTTCATAGCTAAGATTTTGCACTATTAAAATAAACAGCCTAAAAATACACATATCGAAAGGACATGAAACCCATTTCTCAATATTTTTAGAAACTAACTTGGCCTAAATTATTTTACAACTCTATTTTTGCAACTGTGGATTAGTCTCACTGCTTTTCCATTACATGCTTCACTGATGACCTACCGCAGCAGCACTGTGATATTCTTATCCTGTTAGAGTCCATTGTGTCTGCGGCAATATACATACTAGTCTAGATATGTATGGCAGCTTTCTGGGGGGTGGACCTATTCCAAAAGGAAAGCTATTGAAGGATATATGATGGTTTAATTTAAGCTTGTCATCCCAAATAAACATGCCTGTGGACACGGCAAATCTTCATTATGCAAAAGCATGAACTGAGTTTAACAGGTTCCTTCTATAAAAACCTATCTCGCTCAGGGTGATATCATATTGCTGACTGCTGTAAGTATCACTCAATACTTTTTGAGTTCTACAGCAAATCTTGGAGCCTTTCTGTGAATCACTTCTAAAAGGAAGAGACCAAAAATAATGGGAATAACTCATTGTGCATTACTTATATTTTAAAAATATCATTTTAAAATAATTTTAATATATTTATTATTTTAAAAATATATTATTATTTAAAATGTTATCACAATGTCATTATTATGACTTATAATGTTGAACTTTAAAAAATCTACAATCTTAAAATATAAGTCATTCATACCACTAAAATCAATGTTGACTTTCTTATATTTCTTTGAGTAAGCCAAAACTACTGCTAATACAAATATGGATAGTTAACCGTAAAGGACAATTCATGCTAGCATGCTAGATACATAATGACCACTAAGTTTATGTAAATTTGTTTTAGAATATCAGTCCTGGAATTACACTTTCAAGAATGCTTTCCATCTTTGTAAGTACTATAATTAAGTATGATTTTCTAATACGATTATTATGCCTTGGTTTCCACTGACAATTACAATATTGAAAAAGCCTTTCATTCTAGATATTGAAATGCAACTGTCCCAGAATATGCAAATCTGATAAGATAAACATTAGGAGGACTTCATTCACAGTCTCAGATACATATCATACATGTATATATAACTTTTGGAGATTGTGTTACTTTCCCTATGCTCAGCTTTGAAATACTTCAGGTTGGTGATGGTATGAAATATTTTAAAAGCTCACTGTTTGTAAATGAATCCAAAGATGTAATGTTTCATGTTAAAAATAGTTGGTCATCTAGATCTTTAATAGTAATCACTGAAGACATATAAAGGCAATGACTTTGGAGTTTTGAAAACCTGTCCATTTCTGAGAGTCATTATTCCTAACATTTGCTGCAGCTTCATTATTGTTATCATCACTGGAAATTAACATAAAATATAATATAATATAATATTACCATGATGCTAGCATGCTTATAAATTCAAAATCATGTATCCTTTCAAGGTTGAAGTATATTCGTAACCAGGAGATCTAATCCATGATTTAATTTTAGTCTACTAATGTGGTTTTTTTTTCTATTAATTTTTTTTTGAGCCTGTTTAGGTAGCGAAATGCAACATTTTCAACAATAAACTTTCACTTATTATTGTAATCTCTTAAAATATCAGTTTATTTTTTGTATATGGGACAAACTATGGACCTAGCATACTTGTTCTAATAGAAATCAGTGGTCTGTTAGTGAGTTTATTATAATTATGGCACCTTACTGCTTTGCCTTTATTGAGTTGGGAGTCTTCAGCCAAACCCTCACGGCACCTAATTCACAAAATCTGGGAAATAACTGACTGGTGCTTGGTTCTCAATATTTTCATATGACTTAATTAACTCCATTCATGTTTTTGATGTTAGACAATTCCAAAATTTATGTCATTTTAAGCTATTTTTGGAGGCAGGAATGTAAATTACTTTTGCCAGTTAAAAAAATTCTAACTAAATCATTGTTAAAACATCAACTTGTTTTGTGAACACATATTTGCATAAAAAATAATTATTTGCTAATTCTAATTTCTATAACTGGTCCTACTATTGGTTAAATAACAAACTATTATTATACTATAGATAGTGGGTAATAAACCACTCAGAATTTTGACAGAAAAAGGAATCAGAACAAAGGATGTGCTTACATTTAGAATCTCAGAAAAGTTTATCATGAACCATGTAAATATTTGCCAGTTTTAATCTAGAAATTACAAACTGAGCTTGATTTAATTTATCATCAAATGTGGATCATCCAATGCATGTTAATTAACTTTCATGGAAAGTCATTGTGCTTAATATTGAGGAGGATGCAAATAAATATGAATTATGGGCCTTGTACTCAAGAAGTAAAATGGAAATAGCAAAGCAAGGGTGAAAATACCTTTAGTAGCAGATAGTATATAATTTCTAACTATGTGATTTTGAGTGTAAGAGCTGTAGGAGTTAACAGGACTAAAATTTTATTGAGTGAATGTGATCAGAGGCATCTTCTTGGATAATTTGATGTTTAAGTCAAGTCTTATGTGGTAAGTAGAAGAGAAAAGTTTTAGGTGAAATAAGCATAAGCTAAAATACTATTGTGAGAAAATACAAAGTCATTAAAGGCTCAGAAGTTTTCATGGGAACTGTGAGTTCATCAAAGAAATTGTGGCAGTTCTGAGATCCATTCTGCACAAAAGCTTAGCCAATATCAGCCAAAGTTTCATATTTAGCTTCTTGCTTGTTATATAGGAAGATGTCTTACCTATATGTAACAGCCCTGGGGTAAATTTAAGTAAGCTAGAAAAATGTAATAAAAGTAAATGAAGTGAAAAATATCTATGTTTAACATTACTCTTGGATTTGGCTTGAGTGTCAGCTCCAAAACAGATACTGAAAAATCCAGCAAAACCTTTCCTAAGATAAAAGTTCCCTTGCATAAAAGAAGAACAAGGCTCACTTTGCAAAAATCTAGAAGATGTTAAATAGACATGATCTATTTACTGTAGTTGAGGAATCTAAACTCTCCAGCCTTGAAGAGATTTCTTTTTCTTTCCTTGTCTGCCAGGACTAACAATACCACATTTAAGACATTTTAGTATTCTCATAAAGTGCTGCCCTTCACTGACATGTATATACCCATTAATGATGGGTGACAAAGCTATTTGTCAGATGTTATGTGGAATTGACCTGCATAACTTTATGAATTATATCTTTGAAAACAGGTATAGAGATTGAGGTGCTAGATGACAGAAAAGATAGTTGTACTTTTGAAAACGTGGTCTATACTTTTCTTATGATAATTTCAAAGTAATAGTTTTAAATGTGATAAGATTAAATAAGCTTATGATCAGAAGGCTATGAATATTTGGACCAAAATAGAAGAAAGGTAAAATTAATCTTGGGTCAAAACTACTCATTAACAAGAAAAGTATTATAGGAGCTGGAATTTAGCTTTCTTCCAAGCTTTAAAAATAAACCAAAATCCCAAAACCAAACAATGACAACAGCAACGAAAACTCCACTGCCTTGATATTGAACTTTTGGGCACCCACACTCTCCTTAGTCACAATATGACTATACAATGCATTCTGATGTCACCATAGTGACATTAACAAAGGCTCTTATTATAGTAAATATTCAAATAGTGTTCTGTATTTCAAGAAAACATATTCAAATGGTACTGAAATTAAATAGATGAGAAAGAAAGTTAACTAGTACATTTAAGTATAGAACTAGTTTCCACTTTATATAGGTTAACCACTTTGTGTAAACATTTATTATATATGTTGTCATATTTTAGGACACGATTTGTAGAACAGATAGTTCTGCAAAGTTCCACAAAATACATTTTTTTTATTCCTCTCTTTTCCAAAATAAAAACCTGCAAAGCATAAAAACATTTATTGGTTAGAGAATAATCTCTCTTCCACTTTATGGTAAGAATTTTAAAAATTACTAGGAAATCATAATATTCAGAAAGTCCATTTAAAATTGACTTTAAGTCAATGAATTAACAAGGATTCGTTAGTTTCTTACATTGCTCTCAGCATAAGATTTGAATCTTCCCTTCATTACACTCACTAAACTATAACTGCAGAAACAGATTCGATGAATATAAGTTTCTTACATCAGTAAGCTTATTATGATTAATCTGTCATTATTATGACTAAACATAAATAGATGTAACTATTATGATACCGTTGCAAGCAAAGTGTTCTTTTAAAAATATGTAACAACTTTACATATTTCTTTTTTTTAATATAAAAATAGGCTATTATTGAGGGTTGGTTTATTTATTGTCAGCCTATTAAATAGTTATCCACCATGACTACAGGTAAGAACTCTCTGTGGAGCATAAAAACAAACAACGACTACCATGAATCTCGTGGTATCTTCCAGACATACTGAATCTGAATCCTTAGGTAAGAGCTTGAATATTTTAAAACTTCCCAGTTTATTCTGGAAGACATTAAAGGTAAAGAAACACTACCATAGACCTTAATAAGATTTTTTACTTGCTTCAAATTCCTAGGAACTTGAAGACTATTTGCTATAATTTAAAAGATCTGTATTCATTTAACAAATGTTAGCAAAGTATTTTGTGCTAAATATAAAGAGAACTACAAAATATGTGAAAAATTGATTTTTAGGATCTTGAAGTACACATGGACTATGATCAAGGAGAGATTAACTGTCATGGCAATTTACAGAAGAAAGCAATTAACATGTCATTGAAGAAGTAATCAGGGAGATGAAATTAGAGTTAGGTGGTTGGGTCTTGAAGGATAATTTGCATTAGAATATACCAAGATTTCTTATCAACCAGTGCAAAGGTGAGTTTCAGGAGTATGGCATCAATTTAGTCAAACTTTTAATAAGGTCCATGATAAAAGAAAGAAGAAAGTCTCACTAGAATATGTAGAAAATATAAGAAAATATATTCCAAGTGGCGTGTAGGGAAGTGATAATCAAAGCCTTCAGATTTATTAAGAGTATGTTTATGTTCAGAGATCATGTGGAGGGATTGAAGATGTGATTCCCAGAAGTAATTGAATTAGTATGGTGGGAACCAGTAATAGTGACTCTCAATATGTCCAGACTGAAAGAGATATATTTTATCCAGAAGAAGAAAGAAGAAGAAGAGTTATGATGTAGGCAAAGTGGCGTGAAGAAAAGCCGGAAGCTTTTAGCAGAGAAGTAATATATTTCATGTTTTGCAAATGTTCATCTAATACAAAAACACTGCACAGGAGGGATAGTAAGGTAAGGTTACAGAGCAGAGAGCTAAACCAGGATGCTCTTGCAATAATCCAGGTGTGTTATGCCACATGTTGTTTTCTTTCCAGTGCACGGAGGTTTCCAGATAAAACCTTCTGGATAGAACTTTCTGCAACGGGAATTTTAGTCCATGGGATTCTCTGCCTAGTGGGAATTCTAATTTCTCTTCCCAACTCAGCCACTGAACAGCCTTGAATCATTACATTGTGATCTCCTAAAATCTCTTTAATCCACAGTAATTTACACAATGCCTAGTATGCAATAGGTGCTCAGTAGAGCTTGTTGTATTATTGTGTCAACAGTCTGACCCACCAGTTGGTAGTAAAGTTAAGATTATTTAGCTGTTATTTCATAAAGTCATATTATGTGCATATCATGTGTTTATATACTAAAACTTCTGAAAAACCCCTAAAATTGTAAGATTCAAGTAAGATAATATATTGAAATTGTTTTGTAAATAATCTTTAAATTTTCTACAGCTGTGGGGTGCTATGAGAGGGACTAATAAGTAGCTAAATAATATATTATTTTTCCATACCTAAGGGGAACAAAACTGGAGTTATTAAAAATGATACAAGACATTTAGCCAATTAAAATGTAGAAATAAGACTGCACACCTACAACTGTCTGATCTTCAACAAACATGACAAAACAACCAACGAGGAAAGGACTCTCTATCCAATAAATTGGGCTGGGATGACTGGCTAGCCATGTGCAGAAAATTGAAACTGGACCTCTTCCTCACATCATATACAAAAATTAACTCAAGATAGGGTAAACACGTAAATGCAAAACCCTAAAATATAAAAACCCTGGAAGACAATCTAGGCAATACCACTCAGGACATAGGCACAGGCAAAGATTTCACAACAAAGATGCCAAAAGTAATCACAACAAAAGCAAAAATTGACGAATGAGGTCTAATTATCCTAAAGAGCTTCTGCACAGCAAAAGAAACTATCAACAGAGTTAACAGACACCTACAGAATGGGAGAAAATGTTTGCACACTATGCATCTGACAAAAGCCTAGCATCTATAAGGAATTTAACAAATTTACAAGAAAAAAATCAAGAATTTAAACGAATTTTCAAGAAAAAAATCAAACAACCCCATTAAAAGATGGGCAAAGAATATGAACAGACACTTCTCAAAAGAAGACATACATGTAGCCAACAATCATGAAAAAAGCTCATCATTGCTGATCATTAGAGACATACAAATTAAAACCACAATGAGATACCATCTAACACCAGTCAGAATGATGATTATTAAAAGACAAAAAACAACAGATGCTGACAAAGTTGTGGAGAAAAAGGAATGCTTATAGACAGTTGTTGAGAGTGTAAATTAGTTCAACTATTGTGGAATACCGTGTGATGAATCCTCAAAGATCTAAAGATAGAAATACCATTTGACCCAGCAATCCCATTACTGGGTATACCCAAAGAATATGAATCATTCTATTATAAAGACACACACGCATATATTCATTTCAGCACTATTCACAATAGCAAAGACATGGAATCAACCTAAATGCCCATTAACAATAGGCTGTATAAAGAAAATGTGATACATATAAATTATGGAATACTACACAGCCATAAAAAAACAGGATCATGTCCTTTGCAGGGACGTGGATGAAGCTGGAGGCCATTATATTTAGCAAACTAACAATGGAACAGAAAACCAAACACCACATATTCTCATTTATAAGTGGAAGCCGAACAATTAGAACACATGGACACAGGGAAGGGAAAATCACACACGGGAGCCTATCAAGGGGGGAGGGGGAGGGAGAGCATCAGGATAAATAGTTAAGCATGTGAGGCTTAATATCTAGGTGATGGGTTGTTAGGTGCAGCAAACCGCCATGGCCCAACTTTAGGTAACAAATCTACACATCCTGCACATGTACCCCAAAACTTAAAATAAAACAAAGTAGGGAAGTCAACAGTGCAGCCTTCGATCTGTGGTCTAAGGTCCAAAAGCCCCTGGCAAACCACTAATGTAAGTCCAAGAGTCCAAAAGCTGAAGAACTTGGAGTCTGATGTTTGAGGACAAGAAGCATTCAGCATGGGAGAAAGATGGAGGACAGAAGATTCAGTCAGTCTGCTCTTTTCATACCTGCTTTTGTGCTGGCAGCTGATTAGATGGTGCCCACCCAGACTGAGAGCGGATCTGCCTCTCCCAGTCCATTGACTCAAGTGTTAATCTCCTTTGGCAACATCCTCACAGATACATCCAGGAAGAATACTTTGCATCCTCCAATCCAATCAAGTTGACACTCAATATTAACCATCACACATACATATTATACAAAGTCATGTAAAAAGAATGCAAAGAACTTGTGGTGATTCTACAGTCATTTCACAGAATTATTCTTTTGAAAACTCCACAATATTGCTGACTGTGTAATAAATCAGAAACTCAAAATGGCCCTCTTTTATCATTAATTTACCCCACTTATTTTTGTGCATAAATCAAAATTCATCTGCTGTAATAGTAAATATAGTGACCTAAAAATTAGCATTAAGATTCTAGTCAATTCAATAAAGCTAAAAGAGGATAAAAAATACAACAAAAATTAGAAAAATATTCTTATTGTTCATCGACAACATGATTGTAAATAGCAAACCCCAAAGTATCAACAGACCGACTATTAAGATGAATATGCAAAAATAACCAGGTCACTAGATTCAAGGTGAATGCATTACGTTTAATATTATAAAACTGATACTTTTATAGGTCTGAAATGACTGGCAAGGCTAACATCAAAATTATAAAGAACTTCCATAGTTCAATGTACTGTATTAATTTTTGTATGTATATATCAGTAGCAATATATAGAGAATAAAGTTTATAATTAATAGATTTATGATTACATCGAAAATATCAAATCCTTAGAAATAAGCCTAATAAGAAGTGTGCAAACCTTCTTAACTAAAAAAAGTACTTATATTTATATATTTATAAATAATAAAGAAAGAACTGCTTGTGTGTATAGAGAGAATGACATAATGAAAGAGAGAGAGAAAAGAGAGAGAGAAATAATTTAAATCTCCAAATAATTGAGGGATAGTTATCTTCATGACCTAAGACTAGGCAAAGATTTCTTAAGAAGGACATGAGAAAACAGTAACAATAAAGTGTGCGTGTATGTAAGCATTTATATTAAGATATAAGGTGTCTCTCTATTAAAAGCCATCATTAAAAATTGTAAATGTAGCTTACGTATTGGGAGAAGATACGTGGAATACACTAGATTACATCCAACATGTATTACATGCAACGCATCCAACCAAAGACTAGCATCAAAATTATATAAAGAACTTCTATAAGTCAATAAGAAAAAGGCAGATTTTTTGACTATTGGACAAAAGACATAAACAGATTCTTCTCAAAAGAAGATATCTAAATCTCCAATAAATGTTTGAAAATATATTATCTATTAATATCTTATTATTTAGTGGGAAAATACAGATTAAAATAATGATTTACCCCATATATGAAAAAGAATGGCTAAAATGAAAAAGATAGTCCTCACCAAAAAAAAATGTTGGTGGAAATGTGAAGCAACCAGAACTCACTCTCATACACTGCTGATTGGAGTATAAATCGGTATACTTATTTTGGAATACTGACACTACCTTCTAAAGGTAAACATAGGTCTACCCTATGACCCAACAATTCAACTCTTTGGTACACGTGCAATAAAAATGCATACATACACACAACAGAACCCACACTATTAATAATATCTTAATACTGGAATCTTCCCAAATATTCAACAATAGAATGAATAAATAAATTGTGGTATATTCCCAAATAACATACTATGCAGCAGTTATAATAAAAGAACTATACATTCACACTACAAAATAGTTGAAACTCAAAAATAAAATGTTCAGCAAAAGAGGCCAGGCATAAAACAGTATGTACAATATGATTCTACTTATATGAAGTGCAAATATAAGAAAATATAATGTATTGTGTTAGAAGTTAGGTTATGTTTGCTTTTGAGGAGTAATAATTAAAGCGAGTCACTGGAGATTTCTGTGGAGTTGGTAACATAACATTTTTGTCCTGCATGATGATAACATGGGTATATTTACTTTGTAAAAAATGATAAGCTGTAAAGCAATAATTTGTGCTTTGTATGTGTATGTAATATTTCAGTAAAAATTTCAAAAATTTGCCTTTTGGCCAGGCGCGGTGTCTCACACCTGTAATCCCAGCACTTTGGGAGGCCAAGGCGGGTGGATCACCTGAGGTCAGGAGTTTGAGAACAGCCTGGCCAACATGATGAAACCCCGTCTCTATGAAAAATACAAAAATTAGCCAGATGTGGTGGTGGGCGCCTGTAATCCCAGCTACTCGGGAGGCTGAGGCAGGAGAATCACTTGAACCCGGAAGGCGGAGGGTGCAGTGAGCCAAGATCCTGCCACTGCACTCCAGCCTAGGCAAGAGAGTGAGACTCCATCTCAAAAAAACAAACAAACAAACAAACAACAACAATAAAAAAATTGCCTTTAATATCGTTGTTTTAATGGCATGGCAGTCACATACGAATAAAAACAGTAAATTTCTTCTTAGCTACTTAACAAAAGTTAGGCAGGGAAAAGATGTATTCTGAAGTTATATTTAGCGCTCTTTAAAATTTTGACCTTTTAGTAGCTTTCATATTTTCATAAAATAATTTATTTTCAAATGTTGCTAAGTAAACATAAATACATGCCCTTATACAACGCTGCAAGTCTAAGCAATTAATACATTTTCACTTATCATTTTGTTCCTCTCTGTGAACCTCATATTGTGTGTTTTTCATCCTGTAAACATCATTATGGCTCATAAATCTTTTCACTGACTAGAGATTAAATTCATTTTACAGAAGAAAGAAACTCTCACTTTATACAGTTTGAAAAATATTGGTAGTATAAAGAGATAGTTACTATTTTTGTGGATATCTACAATCACTTGAATAATATACTTTGCCCTAAAGGAGGGTGTGCATAATTCCCACCTCTCCACTCTTTGGGTATGGACTGCACATACTGATGTTTTTCCCAAGAACATAGTAGGGAGAGGGAGTAAAAAGGAGTAACTTTACAGTGGGGAAATCTGATAGACATTACTTTAGTGAGGTGATCAAGGCCAACATTGACAGTGATAACTCATGTTATGACTGAAGTTGATGTCAATGACTGCTAAGCAAATAGAACAGACTTCCTCCTCAAATCATGGCTTAACCAAAGAACATTGTGTATTGGGACTAAGGTCCATTGAAACAGCAACTGAAGTTTAAGTTGTTACCAGACTAAAATAGATATAGTTATTAGTTATAATTATAGATTATAGTTATAATTATAAGATATTTTATGTAAGCTCCATGGTAACCACAAAGGAAAAAAACCACTAGTAGGAAAACAAAATATAAAAAAGGAATAAATCAAAACATATCGCTATAAAAATCAACAAATTACAGGAATACAGCAAGAAATAAATAATTGAACAAAAGAATTATAAAATATTCAGAAAATAAGTAACAAAATGTCAACATCAAATAGTTATCAATGACTACTTTAAAAGTAAATGTATTAGATTATCCAATCAAAAGACACAAAGTGGCCGAATAAATAAAAAACAAGGTGCAGCAATGTGCTGACTAGAAGAGACTCATTTTAGCCTTAAGGAAACACATAGGGTGAAAGTGAAGGAATGGAAAAAGATATTTTATGCAAATGGTAACCAAAAGAGAGCAGGGTTGCCATGCTTATAATAAACAAAAAAAATTCAAATTCTTTCAAGATACAAAGCAGGTCACTATATAATGATAAATGGGTCAATTTGTCAAGAGGATATAACAATTGTAAATATACATGCACCTAATATTAGAGTACATAAACATATTAACATAATTGAAGGAAGAAATAGAGAGCAAACAACAATAGCATGGAACTTCAACACCCCATCTTCAACAATGGATTGATTATGTAGGCAGAAAATCAATAAGGAAATAGCTGACTTCAATAACCCTATAGACCAAATGGGCCTAACAGACATATACAGAGCATTTCATCCAACAGCATCAGAATATACATTCTTCCTCAAGTGCACATGAAATATTTTTAAAGATAAATTATACTTTGAGCCACAAAACAAATCCTAACAAATTTAAGAAGATTGACATCATATCAAGTATCTTTTCTGACCACAACGTATAAAAGGAAAAAAAATTACAAGTTTATGAAAATTAGACAACACATTCCTGAAAAATGAATGGATCAAAGAAAAAAGTCAAAAGGAAAATCAAATCAAAAGTATTTTGAGAGAAAGAAAAATGGAAACACAACATACCAAAACACATAGGATGCAACAAAGAGAAGTTTTAAGAGGAAAGTTTACAGTAATAAATGCCTACATGTAAAAAAAAAAACTCAAATAATTAGCTTAATTGCACACCTCAAATAACAAGAAAAAGAAGAACAAACTAAGCTCAAAGTTAGCAGAAGGAACAAAGATCAAAGATTAGAGCAGAAATAATACAGATTGGAGAAGAAGTAACTGAAATAAAAAGATCAGAGCAGAAATAAACAAAATAGAGACTAGAAAAGCAAGAAAACTATGAAAGAAATTGACAGTTGGTTTTTTGAAAAGATAAAACTGACAAAACTTTATCTAGACTAACCAATAAAAAAAGATAGAGGACTCAAATAAATAAAAATAAATGAAAGAAAACGCTTTACAAGTGATACCACAGAAATACAAAGAATAATAGGAGACTACTATGAACAATTAAATGCCAACAAATTGGATAAATTAGAAGAAATTAATAAACTCCTAGAAGCATGCAAACTACCAAGACTGTATCAAAAAGAAATAAAATTTCAAAAAAAACTCCCAACAAAGGAAGTCCAGGACCAAATGGCTTCATGGATAAATATCACCAGTCACCTAAAGAATTAATGTCAATCCTAAAATTCTTTCAAAATATTAAAGAGGAGGAAAAATAAGTTTAGTATTATCTTCATAACAAAGCCAGGTAAAGACACTACAAGTAAATTACAGACCAATATTCCTAATGGACATATATGCAAAAATATTCGACAAAATATGAGCAAACCAAATTCAACAGCACATTAAAATGATCATACACTATGAATAAGTGGGTGGTGGTGGAAAAACTGTGTATCCAAATGCAAAGTAATAACGTTCGACTCTTGTCTTATACCATATGCAAAAATTAACTCAAAATGTATTAAATACCTAAATGTAAGATCTGAAATTGTAAAACCCCTAAAAGAAAACATTGGGGAAAACCTCCTTGATGTTGGTTTTGGCAATTTTTTTTTTGCTATGACACCAAAAGCACAGGCAACAAAAGAAAAAATAAACAAGTAGGACTAGGTAAAACTAGCTTCTGCAGAACAAAGGAAATAATCAACAAAAAGAAAAGGTAGCCTACAAAATGAGACAAAATACTTGCAAACTGTATATCTGATAAGTGGCAAATATTCACAATATATAAGGAACTCACACAACTTAATAGCAAAAGAAGAAAAAAGGAAAACAAAATCAACTTGACTTAAAAATAAGCAAAGGACCTGAATAGACATTTTTCTAAAGAAGACACACAAATGGCCAATAGGTAAATGAGAAGATGCTTAGCATCAGTAATCATCAGAAAAAATGCAAATCAAAACCACAATGAGATACCACCTCACACCTGTTAGGATGGCTACTATTAAAAAGACAGATAAACTTTGGTGAGGGTGTGGAGAAAATGGAACACTTATACACTGTTAGTGAGAATGCAATTGTTTTGATTATCAAAATAATATGAAACTACAACAAGAATAGAGAGACAAACCAATGATTCAGACTGACATTGTGATAAATTTTACTATTAAATATATTTAGTATATTAAAATGTTGCATTACAAATTAATAGCAAATAAAATTATTTCTTAATAAATGATACTGTTAATTGGTTAACAATGAAGAAAAAGTTAACCTAATATCTAATATTATACTTTATGTTAAAGTTAACCTAATATTAAAATTAGTTCTTGGAAGATAAAACAATTATCTACAGAAAGATAAAAAAGGCCAGGAGCGGTGGCTCATACCTGTAATCCTAGCACTTTCGGAGGCCGAGGTGGGCGGATCACCTGAGGTCAGGAGTTTCAGAACAGTTTGACCAAAATGATGAAACCCCGTCTCTACTAAAAATAAAAAATTAGCCAGGTGTGGTGATGCACGCCTGTAATCCCAGCTACTTGGGAGGCTGATGCAGGGAATTACTTGAACCCAGGAGGCAAAGGTTGCAGTGAGCCAAGATCGTGCCATTGCACTCCAGCATGGGTGACAAAAGAGAAACTCCACCTCAAAAAAAGAAAATAAATAAAGAAAAAAGAAACCGTAAGTATGAAATATAGGAGAATATGTATTTTGAAATGTTTGAAGACTTTTTGTTTTGTTTTATTTTTTAGAGAGATAGGGTCTCGCTCTGAGGCCCAGGCTGGAGTTCAGTGGCACTATCTCGGCTCACTGTGACCTCCACCTCCCGGGTTCAAGTGATTCTCCTGCCTCAGCCTCCCGAGTAGCTGGGACTACAGGCGTGTGCCACCATGTCCAGTTAATTTTTTTGTATTTTTTTAGTAGAGATGGGGGTTCGCCATGTTGGCCAGGCTGTTCTCGAACTCCTGACCTCAGGTGATCAGCCCACCTTGGCCTCCCAAAGTGCTGGGATTACAGGCGTGAGCCACCATGCCCGGCTGAAATGTTTAGACTTTTTAAGTATGAAAGCAAGATATGAATTCACAACGAAAATATTCATAAAGTTGACTAAATATATTCATAACTTTAATTTTGTTCAAAAAAGAAAAAAGACAAAAAATTTTCAGGGATATAAAGAATAACAAGTTAATAACTATAATATGTAATTGTAGACATACCAATCAATACTGTAACACAAAATTTTCAATGGAAAATAAGACATTTCACTAAATAAGAAAATAAATTGCCAATTGAAAAAATTATTATTTGTGATAAAAATATGTAAAGTAAAATACAACGAAATAGCACTTTGTCTTATGGTTTTAAATGATATTTAATGCTGGCAAAATTATATTATAGGAAATCTTATTAACTAGATGATAATTTGGTGATAAGTAATAGAGGCTAAGTATATTCATATCCTTTAGGTTAGTAATATAATTACTAGGAATCTAGCCTATGGAAATAATCCTAATGAATTAGAATGTTTATGGCAATAAACAGGGATGGCAAATTTAAAACAAAACAGATGTTTATAAGCAAGGAGGAAAGTTAAGTTAGGCTCTTTATAATAGAATATTGATATTGATCTCATCACAAAAATAACTTTGTGAGGTAATGTATTTGTTATTTAGCTAGATTTAACCATTCCACAATTTATATACACTTGAAAGCATTATGTTATACGTAATAAATACATACAATTTACACATAATTTTTATAATAAATAAATTTGAAAAAAGAATAGTATAGAAATATTGTTAGGCTTCCAGAATTTTTAAATGACATGAAATTCTCACGATGTCATAGTGAGTGGAAAAAGGAGAATGCAATGTATAAACGACATGATTCAAAATATAGATTCATATATATTTCCATATGTGTGTATGTTATAAGGTTAGATAGGTATCAGAAAGAAAGTAAAACATTGATACTAGATATGTCTCCATGTTTGGTTGTCTGCCATTTCATTGAATTTTTTTACTTTTATGTTTCTAATTTGCTATTGTAAATATGTATCACTTTTATAAACATAAAAATGCAATCAATATTATTTTAAACATTCATTATATTGCCAAGTTATCAAATAGTCATGAACTTTGGAAAAACTGATAAACTACCTAATTTTTCCCTGTGTAAGAAAGAAAAAACCTACCTAAAAAGAAATACGTTAAAACACAAAAAGTTTACTTAGATATTTACTACATGAACTGAAAATGGTTGTTAAATTTTTTATATAACAACTTATATCGCCTGCACTTCTAGAATTAATACAGCCCACACTCAATAATAGGTTGCTGAATGTTGCTATTTTACAGAGCCTGCATTTCTAACTCTAAAAAACTATTTCATGAAAAAATTGTAAGATATTTTTAAGCAGACAAAAGCAAGCCTACAAAAATGTGTATAGTATGACACACATTTACATTTTAAATGCCATGCATTTATACAATATTTTAACATAATTGTGTATATATAAATTCTATTACAGCATAATTGCATTAAAAAAGTCTGGAAAAATATATATTATATTGTTCACAGGGGTCATCTCTATGGAAGGGATTGAGGGACTGGGCCTGGTGTCTGTGGTCAACAGAAACATTTTGTCTCTCTCTGTTGTTTGAAATATTTGCACTGAGTATAACTATTTATTGTTTATAACATCAAACATAATATATTATATAAAGTATTAATTCTTTGGACCTTTCCATAGCCTCTTTAATAAGCAAAGAACATGCCATAACCTGTATAGATGTAGAAAGCATGACCCACCAAAGTTCGGCTTTGGAAATCTAACTATATTTTCTAAAATCTCCCTGTAAAATTCCAAATACTGCTCTCTTTAAAGTGTGGCCCTTGGACCAGCAGCATCAGTATTATCTGTGAACTGTTAATTGTGCAAATTCTTAGACCTCATTCTAGACCTCCCGGATCAGAAACTCTAGGAGTAGGGCCCAGAGTTTTAACCATCTGTGTTTTAGCAAGCCCTCCACATGCTGCCAATGCACAATAAACTTTGAACATCACTGTTATATTGAGTTAGAATCAGGTATTTTAAATGCTTTTTTGGAAAAAGGCTGTACAATAAACCAATGATGTGATTGAACAGATTGCAATCTAACTGTGCAATTGTAAATAAAACGGGGGGCAGAAACACAACATTAACTTGGAGGGTCACTGAAGCACAGAGTAGTTACCTATCCCAAATCCATTTCTCTTTCCTAAGGAGAATTCCAATTTGTCTCAGTCCCATCCCATAGGGTGACCATGTAAACCAGTTCTGGCCTATGTGCTATAAACAGATGCAAGCGTCTTTACATTTTTAAAAGCATAAAGGCTCAGCTGACATGTTTCTTTTGACTCCTCCACCCCTCTTTTCTTTTTTGGCACGTGGATGGGTTGTATATAGGTATAGTGGTCATCTTGGAATGAACAGAATGAAAGCCATATGCTAAAGATGGCATGGGAGAAAAATTGAAGCTGGCTGGGGACATTTTTTGACATCATGAGCATGACACTGTTTCATAGGCCCACTATGACTTATCTTCAGACTTCAGAGTAAATTCTTATCCGGGAAAGCCACTGTTATCTCATGCAATTTGGGTGCAATCCTAACTAATACAGCAAATAATACAGAAGGTTCAGTTTCAGTCAGATAAAAGAAGTACAATAAAATGAGATGTGGAAAAGGGAGAAATGAGAGATATAAAATGTATATGGCACAAAAGAATATAGGTTGACAAAGATCAATAAGAAATGACATTCCATTCAATTTATGCTTTAGATGCTCTAAATTTAGATTTGAATTTTTCTTACTACTCTGTTATAAATGTGCCTGCCAACATTAGGCTCTGCAATTGTAGAGGAACAGCCTTCGTATTTCTATTATTTAGGACGCCATCTGACAATTCTTTCATATAATCAGGCAAATGCCCCCAAATAGATGCGAGCTTCTTGTTTGTAACACAGCCACTCTTCAGACACATAGAAATAAAGTTTTAGGAAGATAAGTAACAGGACTCCATCCTGTTTTACTGTTAACTCTTGTGGATCTTCGGTTTCTGGCAGGCCTTAGTCAGAACCAGAGGTCTCTTTTCATGCTTGCTCACAAAATTGTAAAAAGGACAGACAAGTCCTTTAAAAAACTTTGTCCCATTATTCTATCCCAATTCTTTTGCTGGAAAGATGACTCTCCCCAGCACATCCCAGCTCTACTCTCCAGTGAGTGACAGGAACAGTTTCCCCAGATAGCTGGATATCTTTCTCTCACACTTTGAGTTCTCGATTTCAGATATAGCTGTAGTCTAGTGCTGAAAAGCATTTTCCCACATGTCTTCTTACCTCCCATTACAAAGGTGGGCTCATTCAATACGCTTGCTTTGTGTAACATTGTCCGTGGATGGCATTGGTGACTTCCAATCCTCCCTGGAGCCAGTATGTATTCATTTCCAAAGAAAGCTTTGCCACTTGTTTTCCCCTTTCTTATAATAGCAGCAATAATTCCAGTTTTTGGCATGAAACACAAAACATCACTACTTACTACTAGATCTTGGCCAACTTTCCACAGCCTTGTGTGTATTGTGCTTTTACCTTTGGGACAATGGCTTAAAGAAATAACTTTTAGTAACATTTATATATAAATGTCTGAGAATAAGGAAGATGCAACTAAGTGTGTACTGGGAATTTCTTATTTTTCTGGGAATTTCTTATTGTTCAACGGTGTTTTAATAGTACAAATGAAAAATTTCCTGACTTCACTACAAGGTTAGAATAAATTTTGTCCTTTTGAATGTTATGCCACAACTCTTTTGCTAAGCCAGAATACATCTGCTCTGTATTTCAGCATTTTATTTAACACTAGCTAGTGAAATGTGATATATTCTGGGCAGGCTGCATAAATGGCTAATTTTTCTTCCTTTTATTTACACATTGATGTGCATATTTTCTTCCATAAGGGTCAAAGAATTCTGCATTTTACTAATAAGACCTCAGAAGACAGCCATTCTCTCAGCTGTTTCTATTTTCTTAATGGAAAAGCTGAAACATAAGAAGGCTTTGATTTTTGTACCTAAGTGTGATGCTCCATCTGAGCACTTTTCTCCTCTCCTCAAAGAAAGTAAATGGTCCTTTTGATATTTACAAGAGCTCTGTAATTCCAAGAGAATTAGATTGAAAGGGGAGTTGGAAATATGGTTCCCTGAATGCAGAGCACCGGTTCTTAAGTGTTCTTTGCTTTCCTTGTGTTATTAACTGTGTATGCTTTGCTCTTCAAATTTAAGAGAAACGGTGCCAGTTCACAGGAGGCTGAAAATGTCGTAGAACATTTCAATGAGTACTTATAAAATTAAGATGTTTCCATCCACAAGTGTTTCCTTGATGATGACTCACTGAAAAGTACAGGTGGCCACTTGATTAACAATACACTTCACCGAAGTGTGACCTCTGACAGGCAGGAGCAGCCTTCCTTGGTTTGGTGGAAGTCAGCACAGTTTGCTGTATGCCCAGTCCCCAGAGTCCTATAAAGCATCTGGAACTCCTGGCATAGTCCAGAGGTAGTAAAGCCACTACACGATGGCATTTTGCTTCTCCTATTGGGGCAGGTAGGGGAGGGTGTCTCTGAGAAGAGAAAGAAGCTGTTCAAGGAGGTCTCTAAGTATTTCTAATGTGCACTAGAGCATGTCAGACATCTAGCTCCAGTACAAGCTAATAACTCTGTGAAAGGATTGGTCTCCCAAATGTGTTCCACAGGCACAGCATGAATTAATCTTGTTCAATAACCATATGGCCTTCTGCTCCTTCAGAGTATTTTGAAACTATTGCAGAATATTTTCATATGATGGTAGCACTAACAGCAATAATTTGTTGATAGGTTATAGATACCTCTTCCCTTGTTTTTCTCTTTTAAAATCTTCTGTATCCCCAGACTTTAGCTCTGATTTTTTTTTTAACTTTACACTTAACCCTATAGTGGCAAGTATTGTTTTTTCAAGTCTTGATCTTTTCTCTAAAATGTCAATCAATGTTAAGGCAATGTAAGAATTACTCGCTTGTCTACCTATTTATTTCTCAGTAACTAAACTTGATCGTGAATTTTAGATGCATTTATTTGATATTAAGTTTATTCTGTCAATGGGAAACCTGGATCTCATTATCTATAATTTAATGTTCAGTATTATTTAATGCATTATTTAACACTTGTATACACGTAAATTTGTTTCAGAATTGATAACCTGTAATCTTTATGGGAAAAACAAAATTACCAATTAGCAGACAGTGTTTATATACAGTATCTTTATAGGCTCAGTCAAAACAGTTTTTGAAAATTGGCCAGTTTTTTTTCACCCTTTTCAATGAGGTTTGATTCACATGTCACAGTCTGCATTTCTGCCTGAAATTTCACAACATGATGGGAAATATATATATATCTGCATATAGTGAGTAGATTTGCATACATTCATAGAGTCGTACGTCCACTAATTCTTACAGAACAATTCTATCACCCAAAACACCCCTTATGTAGCCTTTTTGTAGACAACCATTACCTATACCCCCAACTTCTGTTGATTACCAATCTGCTTTACGTTCCTATACTTTTGCTATATAAAATGTCATATAAATGGAGCCATACAAAATGTAGCCTTGTAGGTCTGCATTCCATCACTTAGCAAAATACCTGTAAGAATTGTCTATATTGTCATGTGAGTCAATAGCTCATTTCTTTTTTAGCAGTATTTTATTTCATGGATGAACAATAGGCTGTTTATATATTCACCTGTTAAAGGTCATTTTGGTTGTTTCTAATTTTTCAAGGTTATGAATAGAGCTTCCATAAACATGTATGTACAGGTCTTTGTACAAATTTACTTTTAAACATCTTTACTGAAATACAATTCACAAAATGTGAAATGTATAAAATTCATCCATTTCACATCTACAATTCTATGGTACCTAGCATATTCGCAGATATGGTACTTAGCATATTCGCAGATATGGGCAACCATCATCACAATTTTAGAACATTATTATCACCTCAAAAAAGAAACTCTGTGCCCTTTAGCAGTCACCTCCCAGTCTCCCCACATCCCTCCCCACAACCCTAAGCAATCACGAATCTCTTTTCTGTCTTACCTTTGCTGGATATTTCATAAAAAGTAAAATTTTCTCCTTGTCTTTAGCTTTCAGCATTTTAGTATGATGTTCTATTTGAGTATCTCTTTGCGCTTATCTTACTTGAAGTTCATTATGTGTTCATTCATCTTTCAATAAACTTGGAAAGTTTTAGCTTTACTTCTTTGAATATTTTTTCTGCTTCTTATTCTATCTGTTCTCCTTTTGGTACTCTCATTACAAGTATGTTGTGGTTAATAGTGTTCCACACTCTGAGTCTTTGTTCCTTTTTCTTTATTCCTTTTTTTTCTGTGTTTTTTGAATTGCATAATCTCTATCAAACATCTCCAAGTTCACAAATTCTTTCTTCTGCCAATTCAAATCTACAGTTAAGCACCTCCAGTGAAATTATTTTAATTATTAAACTTTCAACTCCAGAATTTTCATTTGTATTTTATATTATATTTTATTTACTTCTTTCATCATGGTTTCCTTCTGTTCTTGGACATAATTATAATGGTTACTTTTGTTACTAGAAAAAGGTGTCCCAATCTAGACCCCAAGAAAGGGTTCTTGAATCTCTTTCAGACAGGAATTCAAGGAGAATGACATAGTGCAGAGAGAAGAGATCATTTATTGAAAGCTACTCAGTTATAGAGTAGGGCATCCTTATAAAGCAGGCAGAGGAATATGCCATCTTTGCTTTAAATGCTTTATACAATATAGGGTCTTATCTGTGTAAAGTCTGAGCTATGTCTACATGCAGGTATGCTGACTGTGTGACAAAATTTAGTACTCTGTTCATTTAAAGAAAGCCATCCTTGGCATTTTATTGCATAAGTACATCAAAGCATGACTATAACTATCTTAAAAGCATATATTGTTATGCAATATCAGGATATCTGGACGTTCTGCTGTTGTAGGAGTTTGTCCTTGCAGGCATTACTAAACTGCTTCTTTAGCCATAAACATCCTATAATCATGGTTCATGACTGGCAATGAATGTGCCTTGCTAGTTTTAAGATGAAGTTGATTTTAAAATGGTATCACCTTGGCTCTCCTGTGCTCCTATTTCCCTAACACCTTGAAGTCTTTTTAATGTAAATCCAGCATCTGTTTGCTCTTGCAGGCAATTACTGTTGCCTGTCTTTTTTCTAATGAATGGGTTATACTTTCTTGATTCTTTATATGCATCATAATGTTTTTTAGGAACTGGACATTTTAGACAATATATTATAGAAACTTTGTATATTTGTCTTTTATCTCTGGGATTTATTGTTGTTATTTGATTATTTGTTTAGTGATTGCCAGGAGGTTTTTTTTTTTTTTTTTTTTTTTTTGAGACAGAGTCTCAATCTGTCAACAAGGCTGGGGTGCAGTGGCATGGTTTCAGCTTACTGCAACCTCCACCTCCCGGGTTCAAGTGATCCTCCTGCCTCAGCCTCCCGAGTAGCTGGAATTACAGGTATGCACCATCATGCCGGGCTAATTTTTGTATTTTTAATAGAGACGGGTTTTCACTATGTTGGCCAGGCTGGTCTTGAACTCCTGACCTCATGATCTGCCCATGTTGGCCTCCCAAAGTGCTGGGATTACAGGCATGAGCCACCACGCCCAGCCTCCAGGAGTATTTTAGTGAAGTTAATTTCTGACCCACCTCCATTCCCCCCACCCCCACTTCCCTGACTGCGTTAAAACTCTGATGTTGCTTCTCATGGGGCACAGTCTTGAGTATGATCAGTCAGTCTGGATAAAAGTGGTTTTGGTAAGACTGTCACTTTCCCTGACCACACCCAGCTATAAGACTCCACTAACTGCTTGATTATTGCACTATTATTTACAATAATGCCCTAGGGACATAAATGGCTCTATAAACTAACCAACCAAATTTGGGCTCTTTTGAAGGGATAGTTTTTGAGGTCAGTGTTTAAGATTTGTTCTTACCCTGGGTTTTCTCAGGCAAACTAGCCAGCCTGAAGTTTAGTCCCTATCTCCAAATAATCTACCCATTTTGTTATTTACTACAACCTCTACTGTTGTTGAGAGTATCCTTAGACTTGAGCTCCTCCACACTCTGTTGCAAATGACATCAGTTCTTTTGATAAGAAATTTAGAGCTGTTTCAAGGCCTGTTTCTCCCCATCCAGGCAACATTTTGGGGCTGTGGCTATAGAGCTGGAAATTGAGACAGTGCTATGCTTCTCTCTGAGTGCTGCCTTCACTTCACAAGTGATGGTGGAGGTGGGGCAGTAGTCCTAGTGAAACGGGAGAGTTCCCTGGTCCCATTCACAGGATGTGCAACAGACGGGTGTCTTGTCTGTTAGACCACTGCACACTCAAACCCCTTACAGGAGGGGGATCATGCAGATGGGCAGGTGCAGGAGCCAGGGTGAGCACTTTTAGACTTTGGCTCCGTGGTAGAGTCTAGGGGTGGGTGCCTGCAAATTCCAAAGCCCCCGTGGGTGTGTTAAACCCTTAGCTCTGCCATCCACAGACACTTAAGTGTTAACCAGCTCAGTTGCCTCTTGGTACCAGGGTTCTTGTCCAGTGTCCAGGAAGAATCAGGTCACACAGACAAACTAAACGATGGTAAATGTGGGGGATTTTATTGCCGAATGGAGGTGGCTCTTAGCGAGGTGGATGAGGATGGAGTGGGAAGATGATCTTCCCCTGGAGTTCAGTCATCCCATGGCCAATCTCCTCTCTGACCATCCCCAGTCGAACTCCTCTTGATGTTCAGATGCTCCTTCTTCTGCTTCTCTGCTCTTCTGCTCATGGAGCCTGGGGTTTGGGGTTAATTTGGGTACAGGATCAGGGGCATGGCAGGCCAAAAGGCAACACTTGGGAATGAAAACAGGAATGCTTTTTCCTATTTAGGGCTGTGAGTTTCCAGGCTTGAGGGTGAGACCTTTGCCAGAGAACCAACCTCTTCTACCCAGTATTTTCCTGCCTCCTGTCCATATCACTAGATCTTCTTGGCTTGCCTCTTCCAAAATAGAAGGGCCATCTTACAAGCTTCACCTTATGAGCAAGTTCAAGGGCAACCTGGCCCCAGTATTCTTGGCGATGCTTTGAAGAGGTAGAGCCTTCCTCTCATAAGTAGTGTCTGAACAGAAGAAGGGAGCCCCCTCTCTCAGTTGTAATAGCCAGGAATTTTATCTCAGTAGCAGGTAGCTGAGAACAGGATGAGAAATTCTGATATTCTGCCGATTTCCAAAATACAGCCCTTGAACTGGTAGCATACAAAAAGGGAAAGAGGGAACCCTGTTCTTGACTGCACCAGTTTGGAATGGAATTTCTGTCATGCTGAGTCGGCATGGGGAAGGGAGGGAGTGAATGTCAGCTCAAATACTACAGACTCTTACTGTTATTAAGAAATGTTAGTATAGTTTCTTAAACAAATATGCAGTCAGAACCTATGGGTTCTGAATTACAGATTCCACTAAATGTGGTTAGAAAATATTCAGCAGGGGGAGAAAGGATGGTTTCATTTGTACTCAATATATACAGAGGTATATTTTTGTCATTAGCTTTTAAACAATATATTATAACAACTATTTACATAGTATCTACAGTGTATTAGGTTATCATAAGTAATCTAGTGATAATTTAAATTGTATGAGAGGATGAGCATAGGTTATATGCAAATACTGCCTCATTTTATATGAGACTTGAGCATTCATATCTATGGTGGCCTTGAAACAAGTTTTCGATTAATACCAAGGGATCACTGTATCTTCATGAGCTGTATGCCCTTAGAAACATTTCTAGAGCTTAAATTTTTAAAAAAATTAATTTTCAACTGTTTTCCTGGAGACTGGGTCTGTGGTGCTCTTCATGCTGTTATTCAGAAAGTTCCTCCCATCTTAAATTTTAATCCATTTGTGTAAATACCTAGGATTAAGATCTTTAAAGTGCCATGATGTTGAGATGGGATATCAAATACCTTTTAACATGCTTATTAAAGAGGACATATAGATGGCCAAAAGCATATAAAAAGATGTTCAACATCATTATCCAAAAGTGAAATATAAATTGAAACCACAATCCCATAGCATTATACACCTATTAGAATAGTGAAAGTACAACAAGCTGACAATACCAAGTCTTGGTGAAGAACTGAAGCAACTAGAACTTTAATCCATACTTGCCAGGCATGCAAAATGATACAGCCATTCTGGAAAATATTTGGCATACACTCGTTCTATGATTTAGCAATTCTGGGTATTAGCCCTAGAAAATTTTAAAAATAAAAACAAAAAAGAAAAAAAACATGTTCACACAAAAACCTATATATGAATGTTGATAGTAGCTTTGTTGATAATTGCTAAAATTGAAAACTATCCAAATGTCTCTGAAAACCTAAATAGGTAATCTACAGTAAATCCACAAAGGGAATACTAGCACAGAATTTAGAATACTAAACACAGCGAACACTGATAATACTCAGAATAGTGTGGATTAAAGCCATTGTACTGTGTAAAAGAAGGCTGTCTCAAAAGGTCACACACTATATGACTATATTCATATGAAACTTTTTTAAAGACCAAGCTATCATGATAGAGAACAGATCAGTGGTTGCCAGTGACTCCTGGTGAAGAAAAGTGTAACTATAAAGGCATGACAAAGGAAAATTTTAGGAGTGTTAAAATTATTGGATGGTAGTTATAGAATCAACATAATTGTTAAAATTCACAGAACTATACACCAAGAAAAAAGTCCGTGTTACTGTATGTTAGTCTGTAAATTTTTTTGAGTGACAAGACAAACATAAATCTCTTCTTAATTGAAGGAGTTGAACTGAAAGAATACATTTCAACCCAAGGAATTCCACACTTTGCCTGAGGCCTTCAACAAAAGGGCCACAGTAATGTCTTAAACTAATGCCTTATAAATTTTTGAACATTCCTGTTTTGGTAATAATTTTCATTTTTATTGATAAAATGAGATTTATGTCAAAACAAATTCTTCGTTTGTTGGTTAAGCAAAGTTTGGCTTATTAACAGTAATTGATTTATTTGGGAATACATACCTTCTGGATGAGGAAACTTGATTTTCTTTTTATTTTATTTTTTTTTATTTCCAACTCTTATTTTAACTTCAGGGATACATGTGCAGGATGTGGAGGTTTGTTACATAGGGAAACATGTGCCATGGTGGTTTGCTGCACAGATCATCCCATCACCTAGGTATTAAGCCCAGCATCCATTAGTTATTCTTCCTGATGCTCTCCTTCCTCTCATCCCCTACCTTCCAACAGGCCCCAGTGTATATTGTTCCCCACCATGTGTCTATGTGTTCTCATCATTCAGCTCCCACTTATAAATGAGAATATGCGGTAATTTGATTTTCTATTCTTGTGTTAGTTTGCTGAGGATAATGGCTTCCAGCTCCATCTATGTCCTGCAAAGGACATGATGACATTCCCTTTTATGGCTGCGTAGTAGTCCATGGTGTATATGTACCACATTTTCTATATCCTGTCTATTATTGATGGGCATTTAAGTTGATGCCATATCTTTGCTATTGTGAATAGTGCTGCAATGAACATATGTGTGCCTTTATCTTTATAACAGAATGATTCATATTCCTTTGTGTGTATAGCCAGTAATGAGATTGCTGAGTCAAATGGTATTTCTGCCTCTAGATCTTTGAGGAATCACCACACTGTCTTCCACAATGGCTGAAGTAATTTACACTTCCAACAACAGTGTAAAAGCATTCTTTCCTCTACAGCCTAACCAGCATTAGTTGTTTTTTGAGTTTTTAAAAACAGCCATCCTGACTGGTGTGAGATGGTGTCTCATCGTGGGTTTCATTTGCATTTCTCTAATGATCAGTGATGTTGAGACTTTTTTTCATGTTTGTTGGCTACATGTCTTCTTTTGAGAAGTGTCTATTTATGCACTTTGTCCACTTTTTAATGGGGTTGTTTGTTTTTTTCTTGTACATTTGTTTAAGTTCCTTGTAGATGTTGGATATTAGACTTTTGTCAGATGGATAGATTGACAAAATTTTGTCCCATTCTGTAGGTTGTCTGTTTACTCCGATGATAGTTTATTTTGCTGTGCAGAAGCTCTTTATATTAATTAGAGCCCATTTGTCAATTTTGGCTTTGTTGCAATTGCTTTTGGCATATCAGTCATGAAATCTTTGTCCATGCCTATCTCCTAAATGGTATTGCCTACGTTTTCTTCTGGGGTATTTATAGTTTTGAGTTTTACACTTAAGTCTTTAACTTATCTTGAGTTGATTTTTGTACATGATGTAAGGAAGGGGTCCAATTTCAATTTTCTGCATATGGCTAGCCAATTCTTCCAGCACCATTTATTAAATAGGGAATCCTTTACCATTGCTGGTTTTGTTCAGGTTTACTGATGATCAGATGGTTGTCGGTGTGTGGTCTTATTTCTGGGTTCTCTCTTCTGTTTCATTGGTCTATATGTCTGTTTTTGTATCAGTACTGTGCTGTTTTGGTTACTGTAGCCCTGTAGTACAATTTGAAGTAAGGTAGCATGATGTCTCCAGCTGTTTTTGTTTTGTTTAGGATAGGCTTGACTATTCAGGTGCTTCTTTGGTTCCACATGAATTTTAAAATGGTGTTTTCTAAGTTCTGTGAGGACTGTCAATGATAGTTTAATGAAAATAGCATTGAATCTATAAATTGCTTTGGGCAGTATGGCCATTTTCATAATATTGATTCTTCCTATCCATGAGCATGGAATGTTTTTCCATCTGTTTGTGTCCTCTCTGATTTATTTGAGCAGTGGTTTGTAGTTTGCCTTGAAGAGATCATTCACTTCCTTTGTTATCTGTATTCGTAGGTATTTTATTCTTTTTGTGGCAATTGTGAACGAGAGTTTATTCATGATTTGGCTCTCAGCTTGCCTGTTGGTGTAAAGGAATACTTGTGATTTTTGCATATTGATTTTGTATTCTGAGACTTTGCTGAAGCTGCTTATCAGCTTAAGAAGCTTTTGGGCTGAGACATTGGGATTTTCTAGATATAGTATCATGTCATCTGCAAACAAGGATAGTTTGACTTCCTTTCTTTCTATTTGAATACGCTTTATTTCTTTCTCTTTCCTGATTGACCTGGCTAGAACTTCCAATACTATCTTAAATAGGAGTGGTGAGAGAGGGCACCCTTTTCTTGTGCCAGTTTTCAATGGGAATACTTCCAGTTTTTGCCCATTCAGTATGACATTGGATGAGGGTTTATCATATATGGATGTTATTATTTTGAGGTATGAAACCTTGGTTTTCTACATCTATTTAAAATATATATTTCTTAAAATTTTTTTGTTGAGTGTCTTGCATTTAGGGTCATTTTTATAGAGAATCATAGACATGGTGCTTGAAAAATTTGTTTACAAATACGTGAAAGAAATAAATTTGCTGGGATATTCATCATGGGGATAATGGTAGGAAGAAAAACTTATTCTGAAATATTGTTGCTACAGTGCAGAAGGAGGCTTCAAGACTTTAAAAGTACAGCATTAAATTCAAATAAAGCAATCATTCTAAATATTGCTTTATTTGTAAAGATTGTAATCCAGCAACAGATACAACATCAAAATTTAACATCAATAGTTAAAATTTAAAGTGTTAAATTGCAAGCTATACCATGTTAACATTTTCAAACCAATAAGAGAAAATGGCTGATATTAGATAACCACTTTAATTAGAAAAAAATGTGTAGTTAGAATATCCTCGTTCTTAAAATCATAGTGTCTCAGGGCACAAAAATCCCGTAGAGGTCACATAACCCTAATTATTTTTTAATGCTTTAGCCCCCTCTATAAGATACCTGAAATTCTGCAGTTAAAATACCTAGCAAGAATAATTTACAAAAATGATAATTTTTATCTAATTTAAATTTTATTGAGATATGAGATCTCTTGATGTCCTATAACATTTTAATTTATAGCTTATCCACTCAGAGTTTGGCCTTCTCTAATTTCAAAGTAGTAATTGGTATAGTAGAACTAATGTTGAATTGTAAGTGAATTGAATGACTTGATTTTATTCATCATTTTAATATTTACACGCTGAATGGAATTCTATAAAGCACTTGAGTTCTTGAGTTCACATTTTATTATCTATACAATAAGGGTCCTAATATCTTATTCATCTAACTTTCTTACATAAATTTCAAGTAACATACTAAGTGAAATAATTTGTAAAACTATAGAAATAGATTATGTTATTTTCTTTTAGACATATGTGGAATACTTAAAAAATTTACCATGTCTTAGATAACTAGTGATGACTCAAACTTCCAAACATAATAGCATAGAGATTTTATAAGAAAATGCCATGAAATAAGAAATAAGTTATATTCAAATTTTTAAAAGTACCATAAGCCCATAATCTCTAAGGTAAAAAGCAATGTCTCATGAACATTTAAATAAAAATTAGGACCAAAATTGAATATAATACAAACACTGCATTTCAGTATCTGTGGTAAATAGCTGAAGCAGTAGTTAGAACTTTACTAAAATACATGTATTAAAAAAATAAAAATTAAAAACTGGAAGCAGAGCAATCTAATGAATATAAAATTTAAAATAAAAGAAT
This sequence comes from Homo sapiens, assembly GCF_000001405.40. NCBI lineage: Eukaryota > Metazoa > Chordata > Mammalia > Primates > Hominidae > Homo > Homo sapiens. The sequence continues at coordinate 110,128,908 of NC_000003.12, read as the reverse complement.
AAATAATGTAGGTATGAGCAGAAATCATTGAAATAAATAGAGAAAAACAATATAAATTATAACAAAATCAATTTTAACAATTTTTGAAAATATACATAACAGACAAATCTATGTAAAAAATTATGAATAAAAGAAAAACAATAAACAAAACTCAGAATATGAAAAATAAACAGCTGCAAAAAAACACTGAAAAAGAAATATGAAGTTTTTTTTTTTCTCCTTGGATGTAGAAAGCCACAACAGAACACTATTCCCACCTAACAATGTGTAGAATCTATATAATGTTACTTTTTATTTTTTGAGCTTAAAGTGTACCTGAGGTTGCAAGGAAACTGAATTTCAAAATTTCCAAGTTTTTTTGGGAGAGATAAGTCCAGTGAACTTTTTCACACATGAAAGGGCACAGAAAGAAAAAATGGTAGCCATCAAAGTGGGTAAGAAAAAAAATAAAATAAAATTTTCAATAAATTTCTAAAGACCAAGTGTGTGCTAACATGTCAGATTAGGATACCTGAAAGCCCAGAAACTAGAACAGTCTGCACCCACTCATTGATTCTTTTCCAAGCCCTCCTCCAGGTGATTGTAAGAAAGATCAGGAGCAGAACAAGAGATACGGACTTATATTGTGGCGCAGGACTTCAGGAGGTGATTAATGCTTGCTATGGAAAAGACACAGAGATCTATGTGCTTCCCTGAATCCTTTCCTTCTAGAAAGAATAAAACTCAAGTCTCTGAAAGAAGGGCAACAAACTCTCTCACCCAAAAGATTCATTCTAAGATCCATTGTTCATGTGGGAAAGGTATAAGCAAAACCCTTCTACTAAAAAAGATAAACAAAATCTAGAAAATTAGGGAATTTCAGCAGAGAAAGGGAAATATTTGACCTTTGAACCACATAGGTTTGAACTATGTGGGTCGATTTATAAGCTGATTTAAATGTGTATATACAGAGAGAGAGAGACAGAAGTGAAAATTTTCTGGAAGTTTGCAACAATTTGAAAAAAACTTGCAAATGAACTATGTGGACTAGGGATAAAAAAAATCAAGAAAAAGTTATGTATGTCATAAGTTCATAAAATGTATATATATATATGCTAGTCTGCTGTATTATTTACTACCACAAAATATATATCAATTTGTCATCAAACAGAATTTATCAAAATGTACATACATGCAGACCATATATGACAAGATTTATAGTTCGGAGAAATGTGAACAAATCTAAAGATGCCATATTAAATTATGACAGCCTAAAATTAAGTATAGTACATACTATACTACTGTAATTGTATAGCCAATTCCTGCTGTTATTGCGATGAGCTCAAGTGTTGCGAGTATCCACTTAAAATGCTGCATAATACTAATCATCGCTCCAATAAATTACATAATGCAGTGAAAAGTGATCTTCTGCAACACTTGCATATTTTTCATTGTGTTTAGGACAATAGCGCAAACCTTGAATAACACCATGGAGCACAAATGAAATGCCACTAGTGATGCTGGCAGTGTTCTCAAGGGGCAAAGTTATGACATTACAAGAAAAAAAAGTTGAATTGCTTGATATGTAACATAGACTGAGGTCTGCAGCTGCAGTTGCCCACTTCAAGATAAATGAATCCAGTATAAGCATCACTGTAAAAAGAGAAAAGGAGATTGATAAAGTCATCGCTGTAGCTACAACAGCAGGCATAAAAAGTGCACTTTTTGCAAAATATCTTTTTTTAAATGCAGCTTATATATGGGTGCAGAATTGCTCTGATAAAGACATGCCAATAGACTCTATAGCTCCCTATTATTCAATAAAAAGTGGTTATATTATAACTTAAAGCAAAAGAAATGGTGAACAATCTAAAGCTGGAGAATTTAATGCCAACAAAGGACAGTTTGATAATTTTAGAAGGAGGTATGGCTTAAAAATTGCAGAGATAACATGAGAAACAACTTCTGCCAACCAATAGGATGCCATTAGAAAAATTGTTGAGGAGAAATTACATCTGCCTGAACAGATTTTGAATGCAGACAAATGTGTCCTATTTTGTTAAATAAAAAATAAAACAGGGACATTTATTAGTAAGAAAGAGAAGTGAGTACCAGAAATTAAGACAGCATGGGCTAGGGTAACTACCATTTTGTGCAAATGCAGTCAGGTTTATAATTAAGACTACCCTTGTCTATAAATCTGCTAATCACTGACTCTTGAAGAAGAAAGATTAAACACTAACTGCCAGTCTTCTGCTTGAACAAGAAGGCCTGGACAATGATAACCTTTTTTCTATATTGGTCCCATTGATGCTTTGTTCCTGAAGTCAAGAAGTATCTTATCAGTACTGGTCTGCCCTTTAAAATTTGTTTCACACTAGGCCATACCCCTGGAAACCCAGAACCCCATGAGTTGTACAGCAACGGCATCAAAGTGGTCTACTTGTCCCCAAGCACGTCTCCAATTCAGCCTCAAGATTAGGAGGGTATAAGGACTTTTAAGGATCATTATGAACGAGGATATTTCCCTGACCCCCTTGTGGGACTCACGAAGTGGGTGACTCATTTACTCATCTGGCAGCTCTCAACTTTTTGCAGGAAAGGAATGCGCAAGCAAACAAGGCAGGAACTGGAGTGCACGGCACTGAAACTAGGCCATTTTGGCAGGGGTGAACTCCACTCACTTGGACCCACTGTGCTCCACCCCTCATGGGAGGCAGCATGCAAGTGACCAGGTGCTGGAGCCACAGCGAGCACTTTTGGGCGCCAGCAGGTGTGAACGTTGTGCAGGTCCTACCATGCCATCTTGTGGGTGGGTTGGTGGGGGGCGCCTACGATGCCTGAAGCCCCAGCGGGACTGTTACAGTGCTCCTTTAGCTCTGTTGTTCACAGACAGCACAAGTGTTAATAGCTCAATGGACCCCATGAACCCTGAAAATTTGAGACAGGTCTCAGTCAATTTAGAAAGTTTATTTTGCCAAGGTTGAGGATGCGCACACATGACACAGCCTCAGAAGGGCCTGACAACATGAGTCCAAGGCGGTCAGAGCACAGTCCAGTTTTATACATTCTAGGGTGACAAGAGACATCAATCAACATATGCAAGATGAACATTGGTTTGGTCTGAAAAGGTGGGACAACTAGAAGCAAAGGCAGGAAGACTCCAAGAGAGGAGGGAGCTTCCAGGTCATAGGTAGATAAGAGACAAATGGTTGCATTCTTTGGAGTTTCTGATTAGCCTTTCCAAAGGAGGCAAATAGATATGAATTTATCTCAGTGAGCAGAGTGGTGACTTTGAATTGAATGGGAGGCAGGTTGGCCCTAAGCAGTTACCACTTGACTTTTCCCTTTAGTTTAGTGATTTGGGGGCCCCAAGATTTATTTTATTCTCACAACTCTCTGCCTTTTCATGTGAAGCTGCCTTCCACCAGTGAGGGCAAAGGGTCAATGTGACAGCCTTTTGCATCTGCACTCATGGTTCCTGAGTTCTTGTCTGGCATCCAGGAGAAATTAAGTTCCATGAATAAATTGAAGGATGATAAATGTGGGTGTTTTATTGCTGATGGAGGTTGCTCTTAGCGGGAAGGGGAGCTGAAAAGGGGATGGGTTGAGAAGGTAATCTACCCCTGCAATCTGGCCATCTCCAGCCAGATTCTTCTCTGAAGTTACGCCATCAAGCTGTCCTCTGAAGTCAAACTGCTTTTCTCTGATGTCCAGATATAGTCTCTGATGTCCAGCTGCTTCTCCTCTCTCTGCTAGCTGAATAGGGGATTTTTATAGGCACAGGATGAGGAAAGGCAAGGCCATGGGTGGTTTTGAAACAGGCAACATTCGAGTGGGAAAACAGGGTGTAAATTCTCACTCTGGACCACTGTTTCAAGGTTTTTGGCTTGAGTTTCTGCCTAGAATTTCTCTGTCTCCTATCACTATCAATTACACACTGTACTCTATGGAAAGGATTGTCAATGCTAAGGAAGAAAACACTGACAGAGAGAACAACATGACAGTCTAAAAAGATTACACCATTGAGCTTGTTATCATTGTTCTAGAAGAGGCCATGGAAGCCATCAATCTTAAAACAATACATTCCAACTGGAGCAAACTGTGTCCAGATGTTGTACATGACTTCACAGGATTTACAACAATACCAATCAATGAAATTATGAAAGAGATTGTAGATACGGTAAAAATTGGGGAGTGAAGGGTTTCATTGTACGGATCTCAGAGAAATTCAAGTTCTAATAGACATTATACCAGAGGAATTAACAGAAGATGACTTGATGGAGATGAGTGCTTCCAAACCAGTGCCAGATGATGAGGAAGAAGACAGAAGAAGCAGTGCCAGAAAACAAATTGACATTAAATAATCTGGCAGAAGGGTCCCAATTATTCAAGACTGTTTTTATCTTCTTTTATAACATGTGCCCTTCTATTATATGGACACTGAAATGAAGTAAATGGTGAAAGATTAATTGGTACCATATGGAAATATTTTTAGAGAAATTAAAAAGCAAAAGGTTAATGTATTTTCATAAAGTTACATTGAGCGTTCCTGCCCCTCCTACCTCCCTTTTCACCTTCTTCACTTCTGCCTCTGCCAGTCCAAAACAACATTAGTCTCTTTGTGTGTCTCTATTAGAGCTATTGAGTGGCGAAGTGCATTGTCAATGAGCAGTAATATTTTGAATGGAATTTTATTTTTCTGAACAGTAGGTCCCAGCAGTGTGCTTAAAATATTCAGCAAACCATGCTGTAAACAGATGTACTGTTATCTGGACTTTGTGGTTCCTTTTATAAAGCAGAGGCAGGGTATATTTAGCATAGTTCTTAAGAGCCCTAGAAGTTTTGGAATGGCAAATGAGCATTGACTTCAACTCAAAGTCACTAACTGGATTAATTCCTAACAAGAGAGCCTATCCTTTGAAGAATTGAAGCCAGGCATTGATCTCTCTTCTCTAACTATAAAAATCCTAGTGTCATCTTTTTCCAATATAAGCCTGTTTCCAATATAAGCACTGAAAATCTGTTGTTTAGTGTAACCACCTTCATCAGTTATATCAAAATGATCTTCCGGATAACTTGTTACAGCTTCTCCATCACAAGTGCTTCCCCCCTGCACTTTATGTTATGGAGACATCTTCTTACTTAAACCTCTTGAATCAACCTCTGCTGGCTTCAAATTCTTCTTCAGCTTCCTCTCCTCTCTCAGCCTTCACAGAACTGAAGAGAGTTAGGGTCTTGCTCTGGATTAGATTTTGGCTTAAAGGAACATTGTGGCTGGTTTGATCTTCTAAGCAGATCAGTAAAAGTTTCTCCATAGGGCTGTTTCACTTTCTTGTTATTTTTACAGGCCTTCATCATGCCTTTCTCACTAAGCTTAATCATTTCTAGCCTTGATTTAAAGTGAGAGACATGTTACTCTTCCTTTCACTTGAACACTTACATGACACTGTAGGGTTATTCATTGCTTTAATTTCAGTATTGTTTTATCTTAGGGAATAGGGAGGTCTGAGCAGAGGGCAAGAGACAGGGAAATGGCCAGTGGGTGGAGCATTCAGAACACATACCACATTTATCTATTAAGTTTGACATCTTATATGAGCATAATTTATGGCACCCCCAAAACAATTACAATAGTAACATAAAAAATTACTGATCATAGATCACCACAATAGGTATAATAATAAAAAAAGTTTGAAATTTTGTAAGAATTACCAAAATGTAACACAGAGACACAAAATCAGCACATGCTGTTGGAAAAAATGGCCCTGACAGATTTTCTCAATACAGAGTTTCCCAAAACCTTTAATTTTAAATTGTTAAAATCTCAACTATCTGCTAACTATAATAAAATGCAGCATAATAAAATGATAGCAGGCCAGGCACGGTGGTTCACACCTGTAATCCTAGCACTTTGGGAGGCCAAGGCGGTCAGATTACGAGGTCAGGAGTTTGAGACCAGCCTGGCCAACACGGTGAAACCCCGTCTCTACAAAAAATATAAAAATTAGCCAAGTGTGGTGGTGGGCACCTGTAATCCCAGCTATTTGGGAGGCTGAGGCAGGAGAATCGCCTGAACCTGGGAGGCAGAGGTTGCAATGAGCCAAGATCATGCCACTGTCCTCCAGCCTGGGTGACAGAGTGAGATTCCGTCTCAAAAAAAAGACAGTAAATGGGACAATGTAGACTCAGAACAAAAAATAGTTAGAAAGTTATAACAATCCTTAATGTATATGCAACCAGTAACAGAGCTTCAATACATGAAGCAAAAACTGATAGAATTTAAAGGAGAAATAGATAAAATCACAATTATTGTTGACATTGTCAGCTCTCCCCTCTCAAGAATTGATAGATCAGCTATACAAAAAATCACCAGGAGTATGGAAGATTTATGCAACACTATCAACATATCCTAATTTACATTTATAGAATAATTCATCCAACAACAGCAGATACACACGCTTCTCAATTGCACATAGAATATATAGCAAGATAGAGACCCTATTTGGAAATGTAAAAAGTTCTCAAAAGATTGAAATCAAACAAAGAGTATTCTCTGATCATGATGAAATTAAACTAGAAATCAATAACCCCAATATATGAGCAATCTGGGTTTTTTTTGGTCTGGTTTTGTTTTGTTTTGTTTTGTTTTGTTTTGTTTTGTTTTGTTTTGTTTTTTGAGACAGAGTCTCCTTCTGTCGCCCAGGCTGGAGTACACTGGTGCAATCTTGGCTCACTGCAAACTCCGCCTCTCGGGTTCAAGCGATTCTCCTGCCTCAGCCTCCTGAGTAGCCATCATGCCCGGCTAATTTTTTTGTATTTCTTTAGTAGAGATGGCGTTTCACCATGTTGGCCAGGTTGGTCTCGAACTCCTGACATCAGATGATCCACCCGCCTCAGGCTCCTGAAGTGCTGGGATTATAGGCATGAGCCACTGGCCTGGCCTGAGCAATCTTTAAAAATTTAAAAATTATAAAACGTACTTCCAAATAACATGTGGCCAAATTTAAAAAACACATAAAGAAAATTAAAAAGTACTTTGGTTTGTAAATAAATATTTTGAAAACAAAACAAAATTTTGTGAGATACAGTTATGGTTGATAAATTTATAACTCTAGTTTCCTATATTAAAAAAATAAAATTCTCAAATCAGTGACCTAATATGCTGAAAAAAATAAAAACAAGAAGAGCAAATTAAAACCCAAAGTCAGCAGAAGGAAGAATTATTAAATAAGAGCAGAAACCAATTATATTTAAATTAGGAAAACAACTAAGTGAAACCAGAAAAAGATCAATGAAATTGATAAACTTCTAGTCATACTGGTTTTTTAAAAGAAAAAAAACAGAAATTACCAATATTAAAAATGAAAGAGGTATTACCAACAAAGTTCCAACAGATACTAAAACCATAAGGGACTATTATAAATAAAAATGCCAATAAACTTGATAACATAGATTAAGTAAATTAAATACATTTATTGAAAGGACCAACTGATAAAATTCACAAGAGAAGAAATAAATACTCTAATTAACATTTCTATATCTTTAAAAGAAATTGAGTTCAAAGTTTATAACCATATACATAGCTTAAAATCCAGTCCCAGATCACATTTATCATGAATTCTACAAAGTAAGGAAGAAAAAATATACTTTGTACACTAATGTTATAAGAAAATAGAAGAAAGGAAAATATTTTTCAACTAATATTTTGAGTCCAGCATTACCGTGAAACAAAAGTCAGCGAGACATTTCAAAAAAGAAGAAAAGGAAGATGGAAAACTACAGACGAGTATTGCTTACAACCTTACATGCAAAGGCCCTTAACTCAATATTAACAACTACTCCATATTGTACTGGTGGTGCAGGCCCATGAAATAAGTCAAGAAAAACGAATCAAAAGCATACAAATTGGAAAGAGATACAAATATTTTTGATAGATAATAGAATAATCTACATAGAAAATCCCAAGGAATCTACTTCATATTTTCAAAGTGGGTAAAAAGCTGTAGAACCAACTTTTATTAAAATTAATTATCATGTAGCAATCAGTTTCACACTCAACTGATATTTGATATATATTCCGTTACAAAAATTTATAATGTTTGTAGTATTCTCTGATGGTAGTTTGTATTTCTGTGGGATCGGTGGTGATATCCCCTTTATCATTTTTTATTGTGTCTATTTGATTCTTCTCTCTTTTTTTCTTTATTAGTCTTGCTAGCGGTCTATCAATTTTGTTGATCCTTTCAAAAAACCAGCTCCTGGATTCATTGATTTTTTGAAGGGTTTTTTGTGTCTCTATTTCCTTCAGTTCTGCTCTGATTTTAGTTATTTCTTGCCTTCTGCTAGCTTTTGAATGTGTTTGCTCTTGCTTTTCTAGTTCTTTTAATTGTGATGTTAGGGTGTCAATTTTGGATCTTTCCTGCTTTCTCTTGTAGGCATTTAGTGCTATAAATTTCCCTCTACACACTGCTTTGAACACCCTCTACGCAAATAAACTAGAAAATCTAGAAGAAATGGATACATTCCTCGACACATACACTCTCCCAAGACTAAACCAGGAAGAAGTTGAATCTCTGAATAGACCAATAACAGGAGCTGAAATTGTGGCAATAATCAATAGTTTACCAACCAAAAAGAGTCCAGGACCAGATGGATTCACAGCCGAATTCTACCAGAGGTACAAGGAGGAACTGGTACCATTCCTTCTGAAACTATTCCAATCAATAGAAAAAGAGGGAATCCTCCCTAACTCATTTTATGAGGCCAGCATCATTCTGATACCAAAGCCGGGCAGAGACACAACCAAAAAAGAGAATTTTAGACCAATATCCTTGATGAACATTGATGCAAAAATCCTCAATAAAATACTGGCAAACCGAATCCAGCAGCACATCAAAAAGCTTATCCACCATGATCAAGTGGGCTTCATCCCTGGGATGCAAGGCTGGTTCAATATACGCAAATCAATAAATGTAATCCAGCATATAAACTGAGCCAAAGACAAAAACCACATGATTATCTCAATAGATGCAGAAAAAGCCTTTGACAAAATTCAACAACCTTCATGCTAAAAACTCTCAATAAATTAGGTATTGATGGGACGTATTTCAAAATAATAAGAGCTATCTATGACAAACCCACAGCCAATATCATACTGAATGGGCAAAAACTGGAAGCATTCCCTTTGAAAACTGGCACAAGACAGGGATGCCCTCTCTCACCGCTCCTATTCAACATAGTGTTGGAAGTTCTGGCCAGGGCAATCAGGCAGGAGAAGGAAATAAAGGGTATTCAATTAGGAAAAGAGGAAGTCAAATTGTCCCTGTTTGCAGACGACATGATTGTTTATCTAGAAAACCCCATCGTCTCAGCCCAAAATCTCCTTAAGCTGATAAGCAACTTCAGCAAAGTCTCAGGATACAAAATCAATGTACAAAAATCACAAGCATTCTTATACACCAACAACAGACAAACAGAGAGCCAAATCATGGGTGAACTCCCATTCACAATTGCTTCAAAGAGAATAAAATACCTAGGAATCCAACTTACAAGGGATGTGAAGGACCTCTTCAAGGAGAACTACAAACCACTGCTCAAGGAAATAAAAGAGGACATAAACAAATGGAAGAACATTCCATGCTCATGGGTAGGAAGAATCAATATCGTGAAAATGGCCATACTGCCCAAGGTAATTTACAGATTCAATGCCATCCCCATCAAGCTACCAATGACTTTCTTCACAGAGTTGGAAAAAACTACTTTAAAGTTCATATGGAACCAAAAAAGAGCCCGCATTGCCAAGTCAATCCTAAGCCAAAAGAACAAAGCTGGAGGCATCACACTACCTGACTTCAAACTATACTACAAGGCTACAGTAACCAAAACAGCATGGTACTGGTACCAAAACAGAGATATAGATCAATGGAACAGAACAGAGCCCTCAGAAATAATGCCGCATATCTACAACTATCTGATCTTTGACAAACCTGAGAAAAACAAGCAATGGGGAAAGGATTCCCTATTTAATAAATGGTGCTGGGAAAACTGGCTAGCCATATGTAGAAAGCTGAAACTGGATCCCTTCCTTACACCTTATACAAAAATCAATTCAAGATGGATTAAAGATTTAAACATTAAACCTAAAACCATAAAAACCCTAGAAGAAAACCTAGGCATTACCATTCAGGACATAGGTGTGGGCAAGGACTTCATGTCCAAAACACCAAAAGCAATGGCAACAAAAGACAAAATTGACAAATGGGATCTAATTAAACTAAAGAGCTTCTGCACAGCAAAAGAAACTACCATCAGAGTGAACAGGCAACCTACAACATGGGAGAAAATTTTCACAACCTACTCATCTGACAAAGGGCTAATATCCAGAATCTACAATGAACTCAAACAAATTTACAAGAAAAAAACAAACAACCCCATCAAAAAGTGGGCGAAGGACATGAACAGACACTTCTCAAAAGAAGACATTTATGCAGCCAAAAAACACATGAAGAAATGCTCATCATCACTGGCCATCAGAGAAATGCAAATCAAAACCACTATGAGATATCATCTCACACCAGTTAGAATGGCAATCATTAAAAAGTCAGGAAACAACAGGTGCTGGAGAGGATGCGGAGAAATAGGAACACTTTTACACTGTTGGTGGGACTGTAAACTAGTTCAACCATTGTGGAAGTCAGTGTGGCGATTCCTCAGGGATCTAGAACTAGAAATACCATTTGACCCAGCCATCCCATTACTGGGTATATACCCAAATGAGTATAAATCATGCTGCTATAAAGACACATGCACACGTATGTTTATTGCGGCACTATTCACAATAGCAAAGACTTGGAACCAACCCAAATGTCCAACAATGATAGACTGGATTAAGAAAATGTGGCACATATACACCATGGAATACTATGCAGCCATAAAAAATGATGAGTTCATATCCTTTGTAGGGACATGGATGAAATTGGAAACCATCATTCTCAGTAAACTATCGCAAGAACAAAAAACCAAACACCGCATATTCTCACTCATAGGTGGGAATTGAACAATGAGATCACATGGACACAGGAAGGGGAATATCACACTCTGGGGACTGTGGTGGGGTCGGGGGAGGGGGGAGGGATAGCATTGGGAGATATACCTAATGCTAGATGACACATTAGTGGGTGCAACTCTGGGGACTGTGGTGGGGTCGGGGGAGGGGGGAGGGATAGCATTGGGAGATATACCTAATGCTAGATGACACATTAGTGGGTGCAGCGCACCAGCATGGCACATGTATACATATGTAACTAACCTGCACAATGTGCACATGTACCCTAAAACTTAGAGTATAATAAAAAATAAAAATAAAAAAAAAAACAAAAATTTATAATGAAATTATTTTTCCTATAAATTGGTGGTGAAAATAACCTATATTGGTCGAATCACTTAATTTCCTGATGGTACACAATAGATCACATGAAATATATATTCATTTGCGCTTGACAATCCTCTTATAGGAACTTTCCTTCTTTAGATACCCGTAAAGCTCTCTGCCTCACTTTCTCAAGTCTTATAGCAAATTTCACCTTCTCAAAGAAGCCTGTCTCAAAAGAATGAGAACGTAAGTCACAGACTCGTAGAAAATATTTGTAAAAAAACACATCCAATAAAGGATTGTTATTCAAAGTATACAAAAACTCTTAAAACTCAACAATAAGAAAACAAATTTAAAAATGGGCCAAAAACCTTAACAAACTCCTCATGAAAGAACATTTACAGATGGAAAATAGGATATGAAAAGATGTTCCACATCATATGTCATCAGAGAAATGCAAATTAAAACACAATGAGATAACACTACACTTATTAGAATGATCAAAATCCAAATGCTGACAAGGATGTGGAGCAACAAGAACTCTCATTCATTACTGATGGAAATGTAAAATGATACAGCCACTTTGGAAGACAATTTGTCTTCTCACAAAACTAAATATAGTCTTACCATACAAACCAGGAATCATCCTCCGTGGCATCTACTCAAAGGAGTTGAAAGCTATTGTCCACAAAAAAGTCTGCACACAGATGTTTATAGCAGCTTTATTTATAATTTCAAAACTTGGATGCAACCAAGATGTCCTTCAGTAGTTGAACGGATAATAAAATGTAGTATATCCATGCAATGGAATATTATTTGGTGCTAAAAATAAATGAATTGTTAAGCCATAAAAAAGGGAAGAATCTAAGATGCATAATACTAACTAAAAGAAGCCAATCTGAAAAGATTACATATTGTAAGATTCTGACTATATGACATTCTGGAAAAGGTAAAACTGTGGAGATAGTAAAAATATCAATAGTTGCCAGGGGTTGGGTGGTGGGAATGGTTAAATAGGTGGAACACAGACAATTTTTAGGGCAGTGAAACACTTCTGTATGATACTATAATGTTGCATACATATTATTATGCATTTGTCCAAACCCATAGAATGTACAACACTAACAGTGAACCCTAATGTGAACTATGGGCTTTGGGTGATAATGATGTGTCAATGTAGGATGATCAATTGTAATAAATGTGCTACTCCAGTAGAGGATGTTGATTAGGAAGGCTGTGCATGTGTGGGGACAGGGAGAATATGAAAAACATCTTTGTAGCTTCCTCTCTCAATTTTGCTGTGAATCTAAAACTGCTTTAAAAAATAAAGTCCTTGATGGTTACCAGAGACTGAAAAGCATAGTGGGTAGTGGGAAAAGGAATGGTTAATAGGTACAACATGTAATTAGACAGAATGAGTAAAATCTAGTATTTGATAGCACAACAGGATGACTACAGTCAACAATAATTTATTATCGGTTGAAAAATAACTAAAAGAGTATATCTGGATTGTTGGCAACACAAAGAAAGAATACATGCTTGAGGTGATTGATACCCCATTTACCCTGAGATTATTATGCATTGTAAGCCTATATCAAGATATCTCATGTACCACATAAATACATACACCTAGCATGTACCCACACAAATAAAAAAGACTTTAATAAAAGAAATAATATAGAAAGGTTAACTTTTTATAAAGGGAAGGCCTTCCTTGGCCACCCTATCTAAAGCAACCGTTCCTTACCCTTTTCCAGTCTAATATGATCTCCTATTTTATTTTTAATTTTAAAGTATTCATTATTTTCTGAATTGTGCACACACATACAAACACAACTATATTATTTATTGTCTGACTGTTCCAATAAATATAACTTTCTTGAGAGCAGAGTTGCCCTTCTTTTGTTCACAGATATATACTATTATCTAGAATATAGTGCACATTTGAAGCTCAACAAAAGTTAGCCTGTTAATAGTTTATCATATCTGACATTTCTTTGTTCAATTATTCCTTTGTGTACTATTTATTTCCTTTCTAGAATGTAAACTTTTAAGAATAGTTGTCTTACTTACTGCTGTATCCCCAGATTTTACAACAGTTCACAGCACATACGAGACCTTAATTATTGTTCTAAAATCATAGAAAGTATCTATGAATCCACATTTAAAATTAGGTAATGAATTTAAAATCTTTTTTCTGAAACACCTATCTTAAATAGAAAATTATTTCTTGAGAGTATTATTTCTCTACTGAGATTCATAATTTTGGAAAGAAGCATTCATGAGTCTGTTAATCAGATTTTATGGACAGGAAAGGAGAGGTGTCACTTAGAACCTAGAACTCCTGCCTAGAACTGGTGGAAGATAACAAAGTTCTACTATTGTGATAAGTAGCCCAATATCTTACTAATTTTCAAAGAATAAACAGCTCCATTATTAGAAAATGTGCTTTGAGAAGTCTGGTAAAAATAGTTTCTGAAGCCAATTCATGTTGAACATTATCAGCTTCAGTGAAGCATTTTCATAGTAGCTCTGGGTGAGTTTGTGTTTCTTCCTTCCTAACGTTATTCTAGTCTTTTTCAGGCTTTAGAAAAAGTGTTAAATTACTATGAGGATGGTGCATTATGCAATTCTGTTTCCTTAGAAAATATCAAAGATAGTCATGTCCACAGGGTGCCTTGAGAAAAACAGATTTTTACGTACTTTCCATTATCACTCCAAGCCTGTTTTACTCTATGCCTGAGGTTCATGACTTTTAAAATTGATAGTTCCTTTAAAAATGAACTGGTTAAGATAGTCAATCTCTGTTCTTGTATTTTTAAAATAAATCTTTCTATGAAAGCCAGGTACATTCATATCTGTCATATTTATCTCTCTGCACCTCCATGAGAAAAGGCTTGTGCTCATCATGACTCCTTTAGTAAGAGTTTTTGCTTAATGTCGTCTTATTTGCTTACACTTTTCCACCTCATTTTTTTTTCTTTTCAGGAAGCTTATTTTTTACACTGTACTACCATAATTTCTAATTTCTAGTAATTAAAATACTGTTACCATTTTATTTTCTTCTTCCCTGTTGATTAAGGGATAAGAACAAATAAATACAATTGATCCTCCATCAGCATTTTAAGGATGCAAATTTTTAAACACATTGTCCTGACTCCTTTTTACAAGTTAGAGTACAAAAGAATATTAGAAAGATAATCAATTAAGACTTTGATCATTTCATTGTAGCCATGTGATTCTTTATTAGTGTGCTTTGTAGATAATGGCTGAATTAAAAAACCTAGATTATTAAAACTACTTGCCCAAAAAATGCTATATTTAGTCATCTCTTTAAGAAATAATCTACAGATTGCCCTTGACTTAAGATGGTTCAATGTAATGACTGTTTGACTTTACAATGATATGAAAGTGATACACATTCAGTAGAAGCCACATTTCAATACAATGTTCAATAAATCACATGAGATATTTGACATTCTATTATATAATCAGCTTTGTGTTAGGTGGTTTTACCCAACTGTAGGCTAATATTAGTGTTCTGGGCACATGTGAGGTATAGTAAGCTATGCTATAGTGTTTGGTGGGTTAGATGTACTAGGCATATTATTGACATATGATATGTTCAGTTTAGGATGGATTTATGAAGATGTAACCCCATCATAAGTTAAGGAGCATCTGTACAGGGTTTACTCATTAATAATATTTCAACAAACTTTCCTGCAAGTATCTGCTACTTGTTTTTGTCTCTATTTTTCTTCGTTTGCCAATACAACTAAATCGACCCATCATTTGGTGCTAGATAAAACCTTGAAATCGTGGCAATGATTTCTAAAGAGACTGTTTCTACTAAGGCTTTACTCTCACACAGTTTAGAAATAATTGTCCTTTGTGATAAACATCAAGGATAGTCATTGCTTTTGAGGTTAAGGCTATAATAATCCTGAATGGCAACAGCTCAAAACTTGGCTTTAAATCTCTGGAAATTCCTTATCTCTTCATGTTGTCCCCCTGTAGACCCTTTAGGGTCAATGTACAAAGTTAATCCATGTTGTGTGTGTGTGTGTATGTGTGTGCGTGCGTGCATGTGTGCCTTTGTATCAGACATATGAAGCCAAGTTTTCTGTGGTTCTGAGTAAACAACTTCTGGCTTCAAGAAGCTAACTCTATAGCCACTCTGCAGAGTACTAAAAGATAGCATTTCAGCAATTGAAGTTATAATGCTTCAATCAAGGGAGAGATGCTGATAGGATAGGGATATTTACTGATAAGCTACTGAAATAGACTGTCTATAAGATAAATTTTCTAATATATTCATAAATACTTCATGTGGTTTGCTTTAGACACTTTTTTATATCTTTCCATTTTCCCCTGCCCATTTCAACTAATATATTTGTGAATGCATATGTGTATACTTGCATGATGTATTGTTTTTTTTTTTTTTGAAGTTAAATATTAGGTCAATTTCCAGTGTTCAAATGTCGTTCAATTTTCTGAATCCTTCTGTCACAGGTTCTCTTTTATTAAGGCTGATTATTGATCCAATAGATTTGTCTCTTCTTATAATTACATCCCTATAGTTATTTAGCTCTTTAATGACTTCCCTTCTTCATAACTGAAAAATAAGATGCCTCCTCTGTTTTCTTTTCTAAGAAGCTAATGTATCATTATCCCTGTAGGTTGAACTGATCAATTTCTCTGCTTAAAGATGTGTTTGGATACTCTCATTTTCTGTACTAGTTTCAATACTTCTTCTATTTATTGCTTGATGCCTGAGGAAAAGAACGTTCTACATAAAATAACATTTAAGGAAGATAAGTTTCTCATTCAATCATTTTTAGTAGCTAAAATATTTCTTCCAGATTTTAACTTTTTCCTTAGTCTCTGACTCTGCCTTAAGGAGCAAAATGCTACAACACTTCCAAAGCAACTTAAAGAACTGTCAATGAAAATCAGAGGATAGGTATTTGGAACATTTCCCTCATGCACAAGTCAAATGATACATGCCAATTAGAAATATAATAGTGGTGCTAATAGCAGCCTAGCTGATAAAGGACAAGAGCAGAAGTAGGTAGCAATTGGAATCCAACAGCCCGTGTGACTCCTATGTGAAATTCTGTGATATAATCAACAAATGAGTATTGAGCAGTATTTGAAGAACAGTAGGCTGCTCACTTAAACATAGGAAGTGGGAACAAATTTGAATTTTTTTAGAAGTTTCACATTTGCAAGAGAATAGGAACTTAAAGTCAAATTTAGCACTTTCAAGTCCTGGCTAGTTTGCAAAGCCTTCTGAATTCTGCAGAACCCTGAACTAAAATTTAAACCAACATCCACTGCTTGCCCCTAACCTCCCAGTTATGGTAAGAAATAAATTATCACATGACTTCCCTGAATTATTCTATCAATACTACCCCAAATGCCATCACAACTAAAACAATAAAAGTATGGACATTTAAGCTTTTGCAAAGTTCCATGAGTTTGAAAAAGACACAGCTTGGCTAGTGGGTGGATTTATAAAACAATTTTTTTTTTGGTGCATCTTCAGTTTTCTTTTTTCTTCTAGGTTCCATTTGGTTACCTATTTTCTCCGTTTTTCTCACACTTTATACCTTTGCACTTGTTTCTTGGTTGGATCATATTTTTAAGTCTCTAATTGAAGGGGCCACCTGCGGACGGTGCCTAATGTCTGGTACACTGTCATTGAAAATTCCCTGTTTCTCTTGCACTGGGGTTTTATGCAATTTCACCAGCCTCAATTTTTAAATTTCACACTGGCAAAATATAGACTTCCATGAAAACGGAAAATATAGAAATTAGTCAGGTTAATGGTGTGCAGCAATACGTTGTTTAAGGAAAAGAAATTGTAATCTATTTTGATTGTAGACAGACTTTAATCCATCCTTACTGTCAGTGCAGTCATGGCCTGCCTTATTTATTCCGACTTTATGATTGCCACCACATTCAATTAGCCTTCTAAATGTCAGTCTAAGCCCCCTCAGCCAGCGCACTATTTCTTCTTGTTATTTTTTCTTTCTTCTCTTTTTTTTTTTTCCTTTGCCTCGGGATCCTCCAGAACTCCAACCATCAGTTCTTCAACTTCCCTCACCAATGTTCATGGACAATCTAGGAAGACTCTAATGGCAGAATTTATAAAGAAATTGTGAACAAAGGAAACGTTACCTACCTCAGTGCTTCTTTTTTCTACTAACAGAGAGCAGAGATGGTTCCACAATGTTATTACCACCCTCTCCGACCATTCTTCCTTTGTTCTTTACTTCAACATATGAGCCATTTGCTTTTTTATTAATTTTTTATTCTTTGTACCCACTACATGACAGGCACTATACTATATTTTAGGGATACAGCAGTGAGCAAAAAATATGAGAAATTCCTTGCTTTTTTAAGGCATGCAGGTTGGCATGGGAAGATAGACATCAATAAAAGAATTACATGAATGAATATAAAATCGCTCTGTGATAAATGCTGCAAAGAGTAAATGATGCTACAATGGAGTAAACAGGAAAAATGAACCTGGTCATGGAAAATACTGGGAACTGACAGTTGACCTGAATCTGAAGAAAGACAGAGAGTTAGCTAGGCCAGAAGAGAGAAAGCGATATGCTCTGGGTTGAAGAGCATCACCCTAATTTATGTCTACAAGGAACCGTATTATGTGACCTTTTTTGAAAATAGTGTCTTTGGAAATGCAATCAATTTAAGATGAGGTCATAGTGTATGAGAATGGGCTCTAATCCAAAGACCAGTGTCCTTATCATAAGAGGGAAATTTGAACACAAATATGCAAAGAGAGAAGATGATGTGAAGACATATAGAGAGAAGGCCATGTGAAGACTGAGGCCAAGACTGGATTCTTAGTCTCCAAGCTGAGGCATGCCAAGGGCTGCTGGCAACAACTAGAGTCTAAGAGAAAGTCATGAGATGGTTTCTCCCACAGAGTCAGAAACTGACCCAGATGACAGATCATTATCCTCCAGAACTTTCAGAGAATAAATTTCTGTTGTTTTAAGCACTCAGTACTTAAACTTTGTAACTTTGTTAGGGCAGATCTAAAAAACTGATATTGGGTAGAAAGAGTTGGAAGAAAAAAAAAACAACTAGAGAGAATATAAAAAGGCCCTATAGCTGCAGAGACTGTGGTGTCTGGAGTGGGGCATAATGTGAAGAGCATAATTGACTGATCTCAGCTGCTCCTATATATAGTCTCCCCTTCATTCACTCTGAGATTACAGTTCTTACAGAGCACTCTCAGTCAATGAAAGATCATGATGGGGCTATAAGTGCAGGTACGTTTCTGTGAGATAGAGATTCTTTCATTAACTCAAGAACTTCCAATCAATCTGGTTGAAACTTTCTTAGAACTGTACTGCAGCCTATGACTCCTCCTATACGATTTTCCTTTCTTCCCTTTCTCCTTCACAGGTGTTACACCTACACTGTGGTATTAAGGCTTCCCTAGCCTCATGTTCCCTTTCCTTTACTCTTTTCAGGAGTTCCTTCCAAAATTATCTGGCACGTCTCATTCCATCTTGATGTCTGCTTCTCAGGGGACATGAATGAACACAAGTGGTGTTAGCTGTGATCCAAAAAATAGGCAATAATAATAGGGTTTGTAATTGTCTCATTCAGCACCTAGAAGGCAAAGAAGATGCCACTCTGAGTGCCACGTGGAACACCAAACTGATCAAAGATACCCATTGGAAGGAAATACCATTGCAGGCATTTGGAAAATATGAGTAGGTTGATTCAATGGCTGCCATGAAAATTCACCTTGCAGAACTTCAAATATAAATAACTTGACCAAGAGCTCTAGATGCTATGCACCGAAATACATCACATTTATCTCCAAGGCTATGCTTTCCATAAACTTACCCCAGCCAATGACTGAACACTTGAAGGGTTGTAAGGCAGGCATGCTCCTGGGAGACATGGAAGACATAGTAGGCAATTTCGTCTGTAGGACACTCTGTTGGCCATGACAAAGATTCATTAGACTTTGTAATAGTGTAGGACACCTTTACCCATCTTCCTTCCCTCTTAGCTCCATATTGTCTCACAGTTCTCCTACTATTTTCTGTCTCTACCTCAATTTTTTCTCACCAATACTTTCCTAATACACCCTTGCAATTTTTATTTTTTTTGAGACGGAGTCTCACCCTGTCGCCCAGGCTAGAGTGCAGTGGTGCAAATAGGCTCACTGCAACCTCCACCTCCCAGGTTAAAGTGATTCTCCTGCCTCAGTCTGCCCAGTAACTGAGACTACAGGTACATGCCACCATGCCTGGCTAATTTTTGTATTTTTAGTAGAGACAGGGTTTCACCATGTTGGCCAAGATGGTCTTGAACTCCTGACCTCAGGTCATCCACCTGCCTGGGCCTCCCAAAGTGCTGGGATTACAGGTGTGAGCCACTGTTCCTGGCCAGCCCTTGCAAATTTAATCCCATCTTGCTATCTGCTGCTTAGAGGACATGAACTAATGTAAAGTCCTACAAGGACAATGAAGTTGGCTACTTAATGCTAACTTGTATTGTTTCCAGGAGGGAATAAAAATGGAAGGCTATGAACAACTGTTAAAGGCTCAATATGAAGACCATAGTGCCTTTTTGACAGATTTTTAAAGAGGTCTTATATTCCTCCACTGAAATAGTAGATGATACAGTTTGGCTGTTTCCCCACCCAAAATCTCATCTTGAACTGTAATCCCATAATCCCCATGTGTCAAGGGCGGGAGCAGGTGGAGGTAACTGGTTCATGGGGGCAGTTTCCCTCATTCTGTTCTGGTGATAGTGAGTGAGTCTCATGAGATCTGATGGTTTTATAAGCATCTGGCATTTTCCATACTTACACTCTCTCTGTTCTGCTGCCCTCTGAAGAAGACACCTGCTTCTCCTTTACCTTCTGCCGTGATTGTAAGTTTCCTGAGGCCTCCCCAGCAATGCAGAACTGTGAGTCAATTAAACCTCTTTCCTTTATAAATTACCCAGTGTTGGGCATTTCTTCACAGCAGTGTAAGAACAGACTAATACAGTAGAGTAAGAATCTGATGCAGTCTCAGAGATTCAGAATCATTTAAATGGTCAAGGTAGGTCTGTTATGCAGGGTCTCAGCTGAAAAAATTCTAGCAGCCTGAAACATAATGTAAGGACGTCTGATTAGATTCCTCTGAGAATGTCTTCAGACCCTTATGTACCCTCAGACCTTTCAGATTTGCCCCTTTCTTACCTATTAATAGCTAGGAATTCTCCAGTTTCATAAGACTTGGTACAGGGCTGTCCCCAACAGAACAACAGATACCTCCCTTGGAATCTGAATTCACCTTCTCTCATAGCTGCCAGACTTAAATCCCAGCATAATTTGGATGGGGATTTAATGGTCCTAATAACAGAGGAAAATATTATACACTGAATAGAAGCAAGATTTAGATAGCACATATTGGCAGAAGTGCCCCCAGTGTTGATTTTGAGGGTGCTTGATCAAAGGAGGCAAAACATAAGACAAGACTGGATTAGCAGAAATCTACTAATTCAGAGGTTATTTATAAGGACATGAAATTTAACTCATAGAAAAAAAAAAACAGGTTATGGGAAAAAGTTGCTTTTAGGGTAGTTCTTAGAAACCTGAAGAAAGCAATGGCCAAACCCGAGCTGCTGGAATGACAATATTCCCTGAGGGGAATAACCAGCCACTTGGTGGCAAGTAAACTGCATTTGGCCCCTTTCGTCTTTTAAGAGCTAACAGTACATTGACACAAGGACAGAAATCTATTCCATGTGTGAATTAGCCTTTCATGCTCTCAGAAGCTCAGCCAGTACCACAATGTAAGTAGTTAAAGAATTCCTGATCCACAGGTATGGAATCCTACACAACATTGTGTATGACCAGGGATCCATTCACAATGAAAGAGGTACATCAGTGAATTTGTGACCATCTTGGGTGATAGCCTATCCCATGCCATCCAGAGGCAGCTGGCCTCACAGATCACTGGAATGGCCTACTGAAGACATAGCTGAAAAGTTAGTTTTGAGAAAACACTCTGAAAGATTGGGGTGCCATCTTTTAGAGTGAAAGATATTCATTAAGTTAAAGATCTTTATATTATGCTGTATCCTCAAAAGGAAGACTACGTGGATCCAGGAACCAAAGGATAAAAAAAAAGAGTGACTTCAGTAGCCATCCCCCTCAATGACCTAATGGAAGACCTTGGGTTTCCTATCCTCACCCCTCTGGCATCTGCATGCTTGGAGATCCTTGTACCCAAAGAGCAGGGACACAAAAAAGGTCCCATTGAAGTACAAGCTAAGGCTGCCCCCAGTGCACCTGAAACTCCTTGTGTACAGGAACCAACAAGTAAGAAAAGTAGTCACATCCTGACAGGAACAATTAAACGTCATCAGCAGGAGGGTGTAGGGATGGTTTTGCACAATTTAGTCATGGAGAAATATATATAGATCCAGGTCACCCACATGGGTATCTCCTGGTAGTGTGTTTCCCATTGTGACTGTGAATGGATATGTGTAGTAACCCTGGCCTGAGAAGTGTATACTTGCCAAAATCTCAGATCACTAAAGAATGAAAGTTTGGATGACATCATCAAGTATGTATGTCTCTATTGCACACCCTAGTGATGGTTGAAGATGAAAGAAATGAAGAATGGAGAGTAAAAGGGGAGAAGGTAAATATCAATTGTAGCCTGGAGATGAACTACAGAAATGTGGGCTATAGTTTTTCCTACTAACTTCCTTCTTCTATGTTGTATCTCAGACATACAAGCCTAAAGATATTATGAAGAAGCTGTTTCCTGGAACTGCATGGAGAAAAAATACTCTTTGGAAAGGTGGGTGGACATGGTGGCCATAAACAATGAGCTTCTCAGGTCTACTGTTGCAGGTAGCATAATTGATTGACAGCCCTAGCTGCTTACTTCTGGATTTCTACCAAGTTCTGAGCAGAGTTGGGAGTACTCACAGAGGCTCATTCTTATGAGACATAGAAGCTTTTTCACAGGAAACTTTGGCTCATTGATTGATTCCTTATCAACATGGCTGAACCATTGGAATGGCTCTGCAGTCTTTGACTCTTCTTCCCTCCACTTTTCCTTCACAGATATCTGATCTGTATTGTAAAGTCTCGCCTTTTCTTCTCTAGCCACCTCTTTTTTATCCTTCTCAAGCCTCTCTTGCTCATCTATTCTTGGAACCTGCTTCTTAGAGGACATGAGCCAGCACAGTACCTGAATGGAATTGAGACAGCATTGTGATTTGAAAGCAGAGTAAGGAAAAGTATCGTGCCATATTAGAGCCAGATGCAAGTAGGATGCAGGTCATCAGACCATGTAATGACTTATGTTTTGGATTTACCTTAAGAAAAATGAGAAATCTCTTTAAGAGGGCAATGCTAAGAAAAGCCTGCAGTGAAATGTTTACTTGAAATATTAACATTTCAGGACAGTGTACTTGTAAACACCCACTAAAAGTACTAATCCTATGGATGATAAAAACAAGTCATAAATCTTCAATAACAACTGGTACCAATAAAAAGTGACTAAAAAATAGACTTTATAAAAAGATATAAGTTGGTCATGGCTGCAAACAAATAAGACTCTGAATAAGTTAAACAGAAAAAGAACATTTCTGAAACAATATCAAGCAACAATTTATAGAATTAATGATAATTCGGAGACCCAATGTGGTGAGTATGAAAACACACCTTTGGAGCCACCCTGACATTCACGTCAGACAATACTTTCTCCATTCTGCTCCCAGCCAATGACTGAGCACAGGGAAGATGGAATAGATAAGTTTTGCCATTTCTGTCCAATATAGGATTCCTCTAATGTGCAACTTTTACTCAGGGGTATCTCCTTGGTCTGACCAACACTCTCTTAGAAATAACCAATCCTGACCTTATCTTCCTCTACTTTCATGGATGTTAGACCTGCATTGCAGTCTGGAAACTTTCCTGGCTTATTTCTGCTTATTTCCCTTTCATTGTCTTGAGGAAGTTTCCTCAAATGAGTCTCTCTTATGTCTTAACCCACCTGCTGTCTGTTTCTTGGAGTAAACGAAGGCTTTGAAAATAGACAAAAACCAAGAGAGAATGACTAAACTACAAAACCACTGCTAAGTTCACCCCACAGGAACTGCCAGGTCAAATATTACTAATGGCAACGCTGCCATTGCTTTACTCAATATTGTCACCACTAGCAGTCCCCATTGGGGCTGCTTGACTCTCACTACTATCTTTCTTGCAGCCACCCCCATCCAAATAAATAGCTTCTCAACTGTCTCTGCACTTCACATTACTCTCTAAGATTCAAAATCCCAGGAAGTAATGAATGATTGGCTGATCCTGAATATGTGTGTGTAAGGCCAATGACAGAAAAAGCACTATTATTTTCTTATTTAGAGGAAGGCAGTGTACTGCATTCTACAAATATTGCATGTGATGAGGAGTTAAACCAACTACGTAGAGGGTTAGACAGTTGAAAGCAAACAAACAAAATTATTAACAATAAATGCACACTGAAACTTACTGGTAAATAGGGAAAAAAACTTTAGGACTTCAAAAGTAAAGCTAAATTTTATTTAAAATAATGTTTTTTGTCATACATTTAACACAAATTAGACTGTGCATTAAGTTCTAGAAATCATGAATTGTATATATGTGGTTATTCCAGCCAAATTGTATATTAGCCCAATGTAATATTCTTAAATTTTAACATTTAAAACACAATAAAGATGACAGTTTCTTCAAATTATTCAAGAACTTTATCAATTTCCCTGAGAGCTTCCTCTAATCCTTTATATTCAAGTCATTCCATTTTTAAATACCAGTCATATCATTAATTTTAAATTTATTTTTAACTGATTTAATTATGCCAGTACAAGAGACAGTAGAGTGTTGTGTCCTCTGATTCAGATTGCCAGAATTTGAAGCCTAGCTTATTCCTTCTGAGATAAATTACAGAGATGAGTTCCTAACCTCTGTATGAATTATTTTCTCCATCTAAAAGTGGGGATACAGTACCTACTTGGTAGACTTCCTGTGAGGACTAAAAATAGGTATATATTTTAGGACAGTGCCTGACACATAGTAAGTGTTCAATACCGCTACCATACTCTTTATTTGATAGTATTTTGTCTGACATTTCAGAATATCTCCAACATCACTTCCTTGGACTTTCTAAAACCATGTATCAGTTGCAAGCATTACAATTTAAGCTTGAAATTTATTTACATTTTTAATAGTTTTTTGCAATGCTCATGATAGACAGACAGAGAGATAGATAATAGGAAGTACTTAGATGTAGGCTGGGCCCAGTGGCTCATGCCTGTAATCCCAGCACTTTGGGAGGCCACTGTGGGCAGATCACCTGAGGTAGGGAGTTCGAGACCAGCCTGACCAACACAGAGAAACCTGTCTCTACTAAGAATACAAAATTAGCCAGGCTTGGTGGCACATGCCTGTAATCCCAGCTACTTGGGAGGCTGAGGTAGGAGAATCGCTTGAACCCAGGAGGCAGAGGTTGCAGTGAGCCGAGATCATGCCATTGCACTCCAGCCTGGGTGACAAGAATGAAACTGTGCCTCAAAAAAAAAAAAAAAAGTAAAGAGAGAAAGTAGTTAGATGTCTGTTTGCACATTAGCAAGAAATTTATTTAAATGTTGATGAATTAATTGATGTAATAGGTGATGATAAATGTTATGTTAAACTAACAGGAATGTCTGAGTGGGGACTAATTGAATAAGTGGTGGTTTAATTAGTGAATATTTGTATATTATGACTATGTTTGTGTGCATTTCAATTGTAGATTTGTGGAAAGGAGAATCACAGTTACATTAAGTAAAAAGGAGGTGGTTGAATAGGTGTTTTCCAGACCAAAGTTTTACTTCATATTTTTTAAATTACTAATTTTTTTCCCATTTGTTAACAGTTTGAAAACGATTATTTTAAAATGTAAAAACATTTTCTTCCTATTCTGGAGTTGGCCAAAGGCTCATAGAAATGACATTCTTTCAGATAAACTGGATTTTAAATGCCGTGATCATAATCACTGTTGAAAAACAATGTAGAAAATATTTTTAATGAAATCAGATATAGATTTTTTGAGGGTCTCACATAAATGTTTTAAAGAACATTTTATTATGTAATTTTGGCATTAGGAAGAACTTTGGAGAATTTTTTTCCCATTTCTCCTAGGATATAGACTAAAGTCCTTACTGCATTGTAAAATGGCATGCTTGCCTCTCCATTCTCATCTCAACCTTTTCTAGTTTTTGCTTTCTGCTCTTCAGAACAGCAGTCTTTTTAAAATTTTCTCTTTTAGATCATGCTGTTTCTTGCAACGGATTATTTGCACTTGCTAGTCCCTCCTCCCAGATTACATTTTGTCTACCCCTACCTTTACCTATTAATTTTTATTCATTCTCAAAATCTCAGTTTCAGTTTTATGTTCCTGGGAAGTCTTTTCTGACCATCAATTTTTCAGTGCTTTCAGAGAACTAGATTTCTTTGCTTCATGGCAATTCTTATTTATTAGTGTGGTTATTTTATGAATGTCTTTTACACTCCACAGATTATAAGCATCATAAAATCAGAAAGCATAATTTTATTGTTTCTGGCTGTAACTCAATGCCTAGCAGGGTTCTGGCCTCATAGTAGGTGTTCAATATACGCTGTCACATAGATACAGAGAGATATTTTGTGCAAAATAAAGTTAGTGGATGGGCTTCATTGAGTCAATGAGCTCACTTAAATTTTATGCAGTTTTATGGGGTTATATCAATAGTTTTTAGTAAATTCATGCTGGTGCCGTTATCCTAGCATTGAGGAAAATTAAGATTCCAAAAATGTAAGATTCTTCTCAAAGTTATTAAGCCAATAAGAAAAAAAGCTAGAGTTTAAATCTGGTCTTTCTGCTTTTAATTCCAGGACTTAATTTACTACACTATATTACATGTTTTAACATTTATTCAAACGCAACATTTTAAAAACGTGGTATATACTACATACTGTACTAAGTGCTGAGGATTCAGAGAGAAAAAACAGACAATTTCTAGATGCTACTCATAGAATGATGTTTACAATGAAAAATGCATTCACTGAATACAAAATGATACCAAAATTAGAATATTTGCAGCTCAGAATGTAGCAGTCCCAGAAAAAAAATACATATATACACATGTAAAATCATATATTATTTTCACAGACCATCTTTGAATGCTGTTATATTTGTTTTTCTACAACAACCCTGTGAGTTGTTTGTATAATGTAACACCCCTCATTTTTAAAATAAGGAAACTGAAATATTAGTAAGTTATTCAAAATTAAATATCTATTTAGGAGATATAAGAGTTGTAGTCAAGACTAGAAACTAGAACCCCTGGAACTAAGTGTCCTGAAGTGGGCTTTTCCAAAAAGATTGATGCCATTAAAGAAATAATATCTTAGGGTAATAGAAAAACTCAAGCTCCCAGGCTGCTAAACAAAGGATAATTTTCTCATTGTGATAAAAAATGATGGTAATGATTATGATCTTCTCATATATTTTGTAATTATTCAGAATGACCTTTTGAATGTCATAATATAGAAAATCTATTGTTAGTAGTGTATTTTTAATCACAATATTGCTGATTAATTATGGATATCTTGATGTTTTGTCAACTTCAGTGTATTGGGTGTGAAGAGAAATTTGGGCATATGCTGAAGAACTCTTTATCTTCTTGTAAATACGTAGGTAGTATGGGTACCTTCTCTATTACTTTTTGAGGTAAAAAAATCCAGTCTTAGACTAAAATAAAAGGGACAGCTATGACACCTGCTTCAATTCATATTATTTCACAGTCAAGCTTACTTCTGAGGTGCATCAGCAACCCCTTTCCAATTCTTCCTTGATTATTCAAATGCCACATGCTTTCAGTGCCTAAACTCATTCTTTTTTGAATGAGTATTAAGTGAAGTATGCCAGCTCATACCAATTTGATCTCTTCCTTCCCAAATTTTTTTGGGTCTATGCCAATGACTCTCAGCCTATTTTTATCTAAGAAATAATAGACATTTGCATTCATAATTTACTCCCTAGGCATACCCATATTATGATAATTCAAAAAATTTTTGCAACAATATAAATATAAAGCAAATGGTTGCACAATATTTTCCAACATCACATGCATGAGTATTTACAAGATGAATAAATACAAATAGCCTTTCAAAATCATTAAACATGAAAACCTTTAACATACTAACACTTAGATAGTACTTTCCATAGGCCAGGAACTCTAAGTCATTTACTCCTCACAACATCTTGATAAGGCAGGAATATTACTATCTCCATTTTACAGATGAGAGGATAAAAATACAAAGAGGTTAAATGAATTGCTCAAGAAAGCACAACTAGAAAATTGCAAAGCTAAAATTTGAATTCATGCACCCTAATCCAAAGAACTCTAAACCAATAATTGATGTTTAAGTAGTGTGCACAATTTCTAGATCTTACAAGCTGCAACTGCAACTTTTTTTCCAATCAGAAAACATACCAGATTGCAATTGAATGAAATATTGCTTTTTTAAGAAAAAGAGAAAATTATTCAAAACTTTGGAGAATTGGAACT
This sequence comes from Homo sapiens, assembly GCF_000001405.40. Taxonomy (NCBI): domain Eukaryota; kingdom Metazoa; phylum Chordata; class Mammalia; order Primates; family Hominidae; genus Homo; species Homo sapiens. Next base: position 110,100,923 of record NC_000003.12, on the reverse strand, counting down.
TTTAGGAAAAGAAGATTTTTTAGGTATAGCTTGTAACTGATGTATTAATAAATGTTAAGTCCAACCAAAGCCACACTTTGTCAATTGATCATAAAGTATTTTACATTTTTCCTTAACAAGTAGTTAAGTCTTAACAGGGTCACTTACTAACTTAGATTATAGAAATTATGTTTTTATACATCTCAGTATTCAACTGCAACAAATTTGTAAGAAACATGATGGCACAGCCTAGCATTTATGCTGCTCTTACTTGCCAATTATATACTAAGGTAATTGCTTAGTAGACAGTAGGTGTTTAGTTGGTAAAAAACTTTCTGACTTACCTTGTTAACTCTACCTAAGAAGGTAGTTTTTCAAACTTGCCTGCACATTACAATCAACAAGAAGGCCGTTTAAAACACAAATATCAAGTGTCAGCATCCCTGAGATTCTGACTTAATTTGCCTTAAGTAGGTGTGCTCCTTAGCTGATGCCATTGTGCTGTGAGGGCTAAAAACCATGCAAGTGATTACTTTCAGAGTAACCAGCACTGAAGGAGGCATTAACTCTGGATGGAAGAAAGGAGCGGCAATAGAAAAGAGTAAGGAGAAGAAGAAATTTAAAGAAAATAAGTCATTCATTTTTACCTTCATCCTTAATAACTCTTAAAATGAATCATGTTTTTTCCCTACAAAGGCTTTTTGCAATCATTTGCACTTGAGATTTTCATGTAGAGTGTAGGCAGTTTCAACCTCCAGAATAGTCCTCCTGAACAATAATTTTAGATTTTAGATAATACTGGGAGAATTTTCTTTTTACTTAGAATTAAAATCAAATTATCTTAGACCACATTTTCAGGAAAATTATATTCACTTGTTGGGTGTATGAAAGCATACATCAGTGAATAAAAATTCGTGGAATTATGGTCCTCAGTCTTCAACTTTCTTTCTGTTGAAGCTGGGTTCTGATTAGCATCTAATTCCGCCCTTTTAGAGCAGGGCCATTAGCCTTCGAAGTGATCCATTTGAAAAGATCAGTGTGCATACACACTGACGCAGACCTGAATTTGCTTCTACCAGCCCTGTTTTCATATAATTAGAATATGTGACTCATTTGCTGGAGTCAAATTTCTAATTTCAGTTCACTCCCCAACTCTCCCACTGATCAATAAATTTCCTTATCAATTAACCTACCGTGTTTTACCCTTTGTTATTTCTTTGTTAGTGCTAAATATTACAAAGACTCTAAAAGTACTTTCACTTCTAGAAGTCACCGGTTATCACAGTTTCTTTTTACTCTGTATTGATGAAAAGGCTTTTTCTTTACCAGTGTATGTTGAGTTCATTTAGAGACAAAATCTAACCCATAATCTATTCTGGAAATTTTGATAAATTTGCAAAAGAAAACCTATGAGTTATCCAGAAGCCTATTTCCTTGTCTGTAACTTAGCAAAGTCTTACTGGTATGATGGCTTTGAGGCATAAAAGAAAGTTAAGTTTGTGCTTAGAGAAAATAAACTCAGTGACAAAATCAGAAAATCTATTCAATATATCTATTTTCTGTTGAATATTTCTTTAACAATTCATTTTTTGACAGTTTTGATTATTTTTTGAGCACATAATGTCATTTGTTATTGTTTGTTACCCATGATTTTTTTTCTTTTGACATGCAAAAAATAAATTAAATTGTATAAACTAGAAAGAATTGATCTATTAAATTATGAAAGAGTCATTTCACTCTCATTGTTTATTTCTCTCTTTTTAAAAAAATAGGTTTGTAATAAAGTGTGAAGATGCTACCCCTTAAATTACAGTAATATGAAAATTTTCCATCAAAATAATGTTAGGTTGAAAATACCATCTTCAGTGTTCTTATTTATAGATATTGTTTTCCTCTTATGAACTTGATTTTTAATGAAATTTCCTTTAAATCTCAAGACTTAAGTTTTACAATACCATTTTTATCTTTTCCCCATTTAAGTGAAAGAGAATAATAAAAAAGAAGAGGTCCAATTTCAACAATAAAAATCTTGACAAATTCAATTTTCTCTTTTATTATCATAATTTATGTATTTCAATGTTTTGCAGGAAATGTATTATAAAATTTTATTCATTTTGGTTGTTTTTGTTTATTGTAACAATCTATGCATAAGTATGTAAGTATGAAAGCCAATTATAAATTGATTTCACTGTCAGCTGCTACAACACTTTGTGATCATTCCCAGCCTGTCTCAAATGTAATATGAGATATTTTTCAAAACAGCAAAACAACAAAGTTCTTGCTTATTATTTCAAAGTTCAGAATTATTGTTGACATAGTTATACTGGTGAGAACAAAATATCATGAAAATATTAAGCACATTTCTATTTGTGTTGTCATTTAATTAACATTATATGTCAATTATGCTCATAAAGGATACTCTTCCATCCTTCTCCAATTTTTGTACCAAAAAATGAAGAAAAGAAAACATACACAGTAAGAGGTTAGGAGAGAAAAAGGGATGAATAAGCAGAGCACAAAGGATTTTTAGGGCAATGAAACTACTCTGTATGATACTATGATGTTGGGTACATGTCATCATGCATTTGTCCAAACCCACAAAATGTACAACACTAAGAGTCAACCCTAATGAAACTATAAACTTTGGGTGATAATGACAAGTCAATGTAGGTTCAGCAATTGTACCAAATGTGCCACTCTGGTGGGGGATGTTGATAATGGAGGGAGTTATGTATGCATAGGAGTAAGAAGTGTATGGGAAATAATTGTACCTTTTGTTGTGAACCTAAAACTTCTCTAAAAATAAAATATATTAAAAGTATCAAACTTCTTGGTTCTCTATTCTGTTCCATTGACCTATATGTATGTTTTCGTACCAGTTCCATGCCATTTTGATTATGGTTGCTTTATAATATAGTTTGAAGTTTGAAGTCACGTAATAGCTTTGCTCCTTTTGCTCAGAATTTATTTGGCTACTTGGGCTCTTTTGTTCCATATGAATTTCAGAATAGTATTTTCCTATTCTGTGAAAAGTAATGTTGGTAGCTTGATAAGAATAGCATTGAATCTGTACAACTACAATAATCTGAGCTTCTATAAATCAGACAAACAATGGGGAAAGGACTCCCTATTCAATAAGTGGTGCTGGGATAACTGACTGTCCATATGCAGAGGAATGAAACTAAACTCCAGCATTTTACCATATACAAAAACTAATTCAAGATGGATTAAAGACTTAAATGTAAGATTTCAAACTATAAAAACTAGAAGACAATGTAGGAAATACCCTTTCAACATCAGCCTTGGCAAAGAATTTAGGGCTATGTCCTCAAAAGCAATTGCAACAAAACTAAAAATTGACAAAAACTGAAGAGCATCTGCACAGCAAAAGAAATTATCAACAGAGTAAATAGACAACCTATAGAATGAGAGAAAATATTTGCAAACTATGCATCTGACAAAGGCCTAAGATCTAAAATCTATAAGAAACAAACAAATCAACAACAGAAAAACCACCTCATTAAGAAGACATACAGGCAGCCAACAAACATGTGAAAAAATACTTATCATCACTAATCATCAGAGAAATGCAAATCAAAAGTACAATAAGATATTCATACCAGTCAGAATAGCTGTTATTAAAAAGTCAAAACAATAACAGATGAGACTGCAGAGAACGGGGAATGCTTATACACTATTGGTGGAAATGTGAATTAGTTCACCCACTGTGGAAAGCACTCTGGAGATGTCTCAGAGAACTTAAAACAGAACTACCATTCAACCCAGCAACCCCATTACTGTGTATATACCAAAGGAAAATAAATTGTCCTACCAAAAAGGCACATGCACCCAAATGTTCATCACAGCACTAGTTACAATAGCAAAGGCATGGAATCAACCCAGGTTCTCATCAATGGTGAATTGGATTTAAAAATGTGGTACATATACACAGCCATAAAACAGAATGAAATAATGTCCTTTGCAGCAACATGATTGCAACTGGAGGCCATTATCCTAAGCAAATTAATGCAGAAACAGAAAACCAAATGCTGCATATTCTCACTTACAAGTAGGAGCTAGACTTTGGGTACACATGGACATAAAGATGACAACAATAGACACTAGGTGCTAGGAGAAGGAGGAAAGGGGCAAGGATTGAACAACTACCTACTGAATGCTATACTCACTACCTGGGTGACTGGTTCCATCATACCCCAGTCCTCAGCGTCACACAATATACCCTTGTAACAAACCTCTACATGTATCCCCTGAATCTAAAATAAAAATGGAAAATATATATCAAATTTCATTAAGAGAATGGAAAGACAACCCACAGACTGGAAAGAAATCATAGTAAAACACATGTTGGTTAAAGGGCTAGTATCAAAATATAAAAATAACTCAAACTCAACAATAAGAAAACAAAGAACCCAATTTAAAACTGGGAGCAAGATTTAAAAATATCTCACCTCACCAAGAACATATACAGATATAAAATAAGCCTATAAAAAGATGCTCAACATCATATGTCATTAAAGAGTTGCAAATGAAAACAATAGTGAAATACCACCACACACCTTTTACAGTATTCTTGCTAAAACAAAGATAGAACCTCAATCTAATCATGAGAAAACACCATATAAAACCGAATTGAGAGATATTCTACAAGATAACCTACCAATATTCTTCAAAAATGTCAAGGTTATGAAAGGCAAAATAAGACAATAGAATTGTTAGAGTTTGGAAGAAGCTGAAGGAACACAAGAAGTAAATGCAATATGGAGTTCTAGATCTGATCCTGGTACAGAAAAGGACATAACATTGATAACACAAAATGCTGGTGAAAATATGGAGCAACAGAAACTTAAGGTGATGTCAACCAGGTTTTATATTACAAAATTACTATTTTTTCCTCTACAAGTAATGAGTATCTTGGAAGAGATATTTGGGTATGTAAATATTCTACTTTTCCTCAAACCTTCACCTACTACTTTCAGCAACCTTCAATATGTCTTGTATGCAACAACCTTTACTGTGTTTTTCTAGTGGTGATTTCATCTGTCACTTGTTTCTTCTACGTTTATTAATTGGAATTCTTTTGTAAGGAGACATTCTCCCTCTTCTCTATTTATTTATTAAATTGTTTATTTATATCATGAGTATTTATTCTAGAGGTTATGATCCAATACTATTATTATTTCTTTTATTGCTCAATTGTTCCATCTTTACAATTAAGATTCTTTTTACATTGGTTCCTTTCTCCTTTCTGTGAGCCCCCAGCTTTTTCTGAGTACTTACTTAGTTTCCAAAACTATAAGGTGCTCTGGATTCATCTTGCATTTTTCTTGCTCCAGTCTTGAAATAAACCATGTCTACAAGGAGCCCTGGCTCCTTTAATTGGAGAATTATCAATAGAAACTGAGATCAGAGTGGGCAGTGTGTCCATTATTGGGGCGTCAATGGTTTTAGGCCCCCTAAGGACAGTACTAGAAGATTACATACACACACTTATACACCCACATACTTCATGCACCCACATACATCTACGTTGATCTATTTTCCTATCTATCAACTGTCTGTCTGAATATGTATTTTACAAACTACAATTCATATTGCTACTACTGATTTCAATCCCATACCACGAAGTTTACTCTTGCCTTTATCTTTTCCCTATGTGTAACTTCCTTTTCTCATAAAGAGAACTTGGCTTATGCACTTATATATTCTACCTTACTATACAAATAAAGTTGTTTTTGAATGGCCATTCATGACTGAACTTGAGTAGACATTGTGAATTTCTCATAGCGGTATCCTTTTCTATGAATTCCCATTTCCATGTCTTCCTTGTGATAGGGATGTCATTGAATTAATCATGCCCATAGTTTAGTTTCAGTATTCAACTTAAAGTATTTAGAACTTATATTTAAACTAAAATCACCAAAGTGATGGATATCAGTGAAAGGAAATATTTGAGGAGTTACCTCATGTATTTACTTGTATAAGTAGTTGGGATAATAAAATATGATTTGAAAGAAAGACCTACGAAATAAAACAAAATATATAATTTTAATTTTGTGTAACTGATTGTTTTGTATTACAGTCAATTACTCTCCCACTTTCCTAAATAGTTCCTTTATGTCTCCTCTCCTCAAATATTAAAAACCCACTTCACCATCTGCACTTTTGGTTGATGACCTTGCTTGAGATTCTCTGAGAAAATAGATGCAATTTTTTAAAAAAATTACAAGTGTCCAAAACATCTACCATGTAGCTGTGTACAGATTGTGGCTTCTCTCCTATTATCATTAGATGGATGGATAGACAGATCGATAGATAGATAGATTAGATAGATAGACAGACAGACAGACAGACAGACAGACAGAAAGACAGACCGACAGACAGATAGATAGATAGATAGACAAATGAGAGATAAACCAACAAAGCTCAACAACTTCCTCCATGACACTGATCCAGCAATTGTCCTCCTTGCAAACATAGTAACAATTTTCTCTCTTTACTATGTAACCATTATCTCAATCCAAACATGTTAATGCTTTTATGTAATGTTTTATATATTTTATGAAATATTTTATATATTTAAAAAAACTGACCAAAGCCTGACAAAACTATGTAGACAATAAAAATATCAGTTGCTGCCAGGGATTGGGGGAAAGGGAATGATGAATAAGTGGAGCATGGAGGATTTTACAGCAATGAGATTACTCTGTATGGTACTGTAATGTTGGATACATGCCATTATACATTTGTTCAAACCTGCAAAATGTACACCAAGTTTACATTACAACCATAATGTAAACTAAGAACTCTGGAAAATAGTGACATGCCAATGCAGATTCATCAATTGCAACAAATTACCATTCTAATAGGGAAAGTTGATAATGAAGGAGGATATGTACATGTGTGAGGGGGTTGAGATGTGTATGAAAAATCTCTGTACTTTCCAGCTCTATTTCCTGTGAACTGAAAACTGCTCTAAATATAGTCTATTAAATAAATAAAAATCCATCAATGTAAGAGTTCTCTCCAACTCCTTTTCTCCTCATAGTTCCACTGAAACTGTTCTTAACAAGGTCACAATCTCTACCCACACTGTTAAATGTAACAAACAACTCTAGTTTTCATCTTATTCTTTTTTTATATAGATTTGATGCTGTTTTTTATCACTCCCCTTTCCTAGAAACACTTCCTTCACTTGGCTGTCTGGACAGTAAACTCTTCCTAACCCATTCTCAGTTTCATTTCATGGTTCTTCCTCATTCCCTGACTTAAATAAACCTTGGAATGCCCAAGGATTCAGTTCTTGGAAAACTTTTTTTTCTTCTCATACTTGTTTTCTTGGTGTCCTCATTTAATCTTGTGCTTTCAGTACCATCTGTATGTTTATAGATTGCAAATGTAAATCTACAACCTAAACTTTCCTTTGAATTTCAGACTTATAGCTACAATTGCCTACTTAACATATGACTTGGATGTCTAATGAGCATATCAGATTTAACATGCCAAACTGAATTAATCTTCTCCAAAACTCCTTCCACTTCTAAACTCTTATCCAGCTCAGCAATTGGCTACCTTATCCTTTAACTGTTTAGTCCAAAAACCTTGAAGATATTCTTGTTTCCTCTTTTTTTCACATCATCCATCTACTTCTTAAGCAAATACTGCTAGCTTTACTTTGCATCCAGAATTTGATCATTTCCCATCATTTCTACTGTTGTCTCCCTGTACCAAGCTATGATAATCTCTAACTTGAAAGAGGTTTCTATCTTGACACTTTTCTTCCACTGTAGTGTATTCTCAACACAATAGCCAGAGCAAGCCTCTTAAAAGGTAAATCATTCCTCTACTCAAATCCCTCTATTGGTTTCTGATCTTATGCAGAATAAATGCCAATGACATTACAGTGACCTACGAGGTACCTACACAATCTGACCCCTGGTTCTCTCTTGATCCTCTCTCTAACATTTGTTCCCTCACATACCATGCTTCAGTAACAACAGTATTATTTTCATTTCTCAGACACACTAGACCTGTTCCTGTCTCAGGGCCTTTCACCTACTCTTCCTTTGTCAAGAACTTTAATCCATCCTTGCATTACCGTAGTTGGCTCTCTCATAGTTGACTTTGCGTCCTTGTTCAAATGTCACCTTCTAACTGAACCTTTTCTTGACTTTCTCATTGAAGTTTTTACTCTTGGGATTCCATATCCATATTCTCTAACTTTTCTCTAAAACACACATATATCTTAAATAGCAATATGCATCATTTATTTGAAAATTACGATTTTTTCCTCCATGAAAATGAAGATAATGAAGGTAGGGATATCTGTCACACTATAGGAATTCAGTAAATTAATAGGACTTTCAAATATATTAAATAGTGCTAATTTCTCTCTCTGCTTCTGCTGTTACTTTAGTTCAAACCCTCAGCTTTTCTGTAGACCTCACCAGTAGGTCCCTATGTGATCTTCATGATTTTTACTCAACCCGTTTGGCAGAGTGATTTTTTCTAAATTTGCTACGCTCTTCTTAAACCTGTTGTGAGTCTTCACTATTTATTGCAGCGATTTTCAAACTTTGTTCTATTGGGATTTGCAGAAGAAATCTTCAAGTGTAAAGCCACAATATAGTCTATTTTCTGTAAATTAGGTTAGGAGGACATTCGCTTAGTGTAGGGCAAAGAAAGATGTGAGAGTGTGAGATATATGAGAAAATAAATGTTTAAATAACAGCTATGGAGAAAGTATGAGAGAATAGACTACAGAAGTTTATAAGTAATATAAGATAATTTAAAATTTGTATCAAATTTTTGGATAATACATTAATATTAGCATTAGCTTGAGTGGTTTGTTAATTTTTCTCCAGTCCAATTCAGCTACCTGGGAGAAGACAGCTGAAGATGACCAATTGAATTAATTCCATAATTGATTTTTTTCTGCCTGGATTTTGCACAGAAAGATGGCAGGATAAGTAGGCTGGAAATATTGTCAAAAGAGTAAAACCGAGGATAGACTGGAAATAAATACAAAAAGAAGAAAGAAAAGAAAAGAAGAAAATCTAGAATAAGAATAATAGATGTGAATAAAATATAAAAGTGAAGAGATAAGAACAATGTGAAACTCGGGGGGATATACCAAGTTGTTTTTCATGGAATTTTTTCAGGAATCACGGATCATGGCACATACTTTTAATGAAATATAATGGGAAAAAGTGTATTTGATTATAATAAAATTAGGTATTTTTTAAGGAAAATAATTCATATATACAGTATACATATGTCTGTAGTTATATTCAGGCTTATAATAAAAAAGACAATTGATAGTATGGATTATGGTCAAATAAATTTTAAAAATACTGGAATAAAACAACTTATGAAGTTGTAGACCTGGCAGATAGATGGAGCTTAGTGAGAGAAGTGATTCACATTAAATTGTTATTATAGAACACCAAGGTCAGAGTGTGAAAATGTGATAGATAGTAGGAATGAAAAGTAGGGTAAACAAAGACAGATTAAAAGAAAATCTGGATTAATAGTGCCCATCTAAATTAGGAGAATATTATGGATGTCAGGGACTAAGAAAACAAATGAGAAATCACTTCCTCCAGGTTGAAAGCTGTCCCAAACTGATGTGAATAAGTGTGTGTGTGTGTGTGTGTGTGTGTGTGTGTGTGTGTGTGTGTGTGTCTATTGAGCTAGCAGTAAAGGGGTGGGTTGTGAAGTAGGACCTCAGCAGGAATTGTTTTTTGGTCAAAACCCTGCTGATCAAAATAGGATCCAATCCAGAAAGGATAAAGTGAAGAAATCTGCAGGAACCAGCAAATGGCCACCAGGGTAATTCCTGGGTTCCCGTCATTGCTCATTAGCATAAGACACTCCCACCAGAGCCATGACAGTTTATAAATGCCACGGCAATGACCTGAAAGTAACCATACCTTTCAATGGCAATGACCCAGAAGTTACCACCTCTTTCCTACAAAGTTCTAATTAACCCACCCTCAATTTGCATTGACTTGCCCCTCAATTTGCATGTAATGGTAAGTGGATTTAAGTGAGTATAAACACAGTTGCTTATAAGTTAGCCCCGCTCTGCAAGGAGTTCTATTGTTCAATAGAAGATTGCTGTCTAATATCACCAATTTGCCCTTGAATTCTTTCCTGGGTGAAGCCAAGAACCCTCCTGGGCTAAGCCCCAATTTTGGCGCTTGCCTGTCCTGCATCAGTTGGAAAAAAGCTTTAAAGGTATCCACTAATCTCTCTTGAAAGTTGACTTGGGATTACTATTCCTTGCTCCTATTAGTGAAGATTCTTTGCTTGACTAAACTTTAGTCAGACTCCTGAACCTTTTTGTAGTCCCATATATACACTTCTTTGTAAAATCCAGTTTTAGAAAAGAACCCTGCCAAGTCAGTTTAGAAAGAATTCCCCATTCTTATTACCTGATAGCTCTCAATATCTGGTTAAAATTCCTCATAACCCATCCTTGGTATCTTATCCCTTGGCCTGCCTTCAGCAGGAATTTTGTTAGGTTGGTTCAGTCAGAATTCTCCCCAGACATGATGTTTCCCCTTAGTAATTTGCCATACCAACTTCCCTGCTCCTTGGCTATAAATCCCCCACCTCTCCCTGCTGTATTAGGAATGGTGCCCATTTCTATACTGGGGTCTCATTTCCCCTATTACAATAGCCTTGAATGAAATTTGCCTTCACCACTTTAACTTCTGTCTAGCTCTGGTTTTCTCTGACATTATACCACATACATCCTCAGAAATCAGGATACTAGTATTTTAAGGGGAAAATTTGGGCTATGCAAAAGCTCTGTTGGCACAAGAAATTGATTAAAGCAACTGTGGGCTGGCTAGCATTGCTCAAAAAAAACCTTTCATCCATCCCATCCTTCCAAACACCAAGTCTAGGGATTTCAACCTAGGAAGACTGCTCTGGCCAATGCTGTTTCTCCCTGAAGCAAAATCCAGACCTAAGGAGTTGTCCAGGGGAAAGCCAGCAGAGGACAGTGATTAACATTGTTTTCATGGGCTTGGTCCTGTGCCATCAATATCATCTTCTTCCTTTCGAAATCTAACTGGGGCATGGATTTCAATACACACTTCTTCCTCAGTATACACTATTATGTCATATAGTTGATGTTTCAGGAGAATATAGGTGGCCAAAAGAAAGTAAACTGAAAACAACTGTAAACATAACATCTGTTGCAAAATTCTGGAACTTGGGAAAACAAGAATCTAAGATAAACATTTCAAAATACATTTGAGATATAAAGAAACAGATTGGTAATAAAAAACAAAAAAAAAACCTTTAAAATCAAGTGGTTTTATTAGATACAGATATTAATAAAATTAATTAAAGAGTGCAATATTTGGAACAAACAGCAGAATAAATGGACAGCTGAAAGAATAGTAAATTGGATATGTGATTGAGGAGCTTATTTGGCATGCAGCAAGAAAAAAAGTGACAAAAAAAGTTAAAGCTAAAAATATGGATAATAGAAATAAATGTTTCATCATCTTGAAAACAGGACTGTTGAAAAGGGAACAGGATAAATGGATAGAATAAAATATTTGAAGAAATAATAAAGATAGGTTTCAAGAGTTAATGAGGCTGTGCACAAGGGCTCATGCCTATAATCCCAGCACTTTAGGAGGCCACAGTGAGAGGGTTGCTTCAGGCCAGGAGTTCAAGAGCAGCCTGGCCAATATAAAGAGACCCCCTTTCTACAAAAAAGTGCTTTAAAAAAGCTGAGCATCATGGCATGCACCCATGGTCCCAGCTACTTTGGAGGTTAAGGCAGGAGGATCACTTGAGCCCAGGAGGTCGAGGCTTTAGTGAGCTATGGTCATGACACTGCACTCCAGCCTGTTTGAACATAAAGACCCTGTTCTAAGGAAGGAAAGGAGAAGTTATATGAACAAGCAATTTCTCTAAATTAACTAGGGATATCTAGGGAAAACTATGACTAAATTAATAATAATCACATAAGTATAAAGCATAGAGGGGTAAGAATGATAGATTAGACTGTAAATGAAATGTCTTCATTTCCAGTCAATAATGTATAAATAGTCAGTAAACAGTGTTATATGCCTGTTGTTTATACTTAGGAAAGAAATCCATAAGATATATGAAAATAGAAAAGATTAACAATAGTTTTTTTGGGGGGTAAGATACAGGGCGGTTGAAGGAATATGCTGAAGCTGAAAGTTGCTAGCTTTTTATTTTGGCCTTTTTGTAGATTTTGTTTTAGCCTTTCTGTCAATTTTATTTTAGCATTTCTATCCATTTTATTTTATTATTATGTGCATGCATAAATGTATAACTTTATAAGTTTTTTTTACTAAAAAGAGAAATATTATTCTCAGCTAGCTATATAAAACCATTCTACTCTAACTTAGCTGATATCTGTTCTACCCATGGTGTTGGGTTACCCAGAAGTCTTATGAGCTAGTCAGCCGTAATGGATACCTTAACGACACAGCCAGAGTTGGAGTTCAGAGAAAACAGACAAAGTAGCAGAGAACTAGTAGGTACTAGAAATCCATGCAGAAGAGAAAAGCCCAGAACCCAAAAAGCAGATGTTCACAACACATGGCTATGAGAGAAAAAAGTCCCTGACAAGACAAGTCTGAACCTGTGTCCAAAGCTTTTGTCTCAAGTGCTAATTGTAACCAGAAGAAAGCAGGAATAGCTTGAACCCAGTAATTTTTCACACACACACACACACACACACACACACACACACGAACACACACACGGCTTATTTCTTCAACCTGCCAGTGATCTAGGAACATTGAGAAATATCAGCACTTGCATTTTATTTTGCTTCCATTTTCCCTGCTGATTTCAAAGAAAAAGGGCTATTATTCTCAATGTGGTAACAGCAACCTCTTGGATTTATCATGCTGCAATTGACATGAAATTTGAATTATTTTTCCAAGCTGGGGGAGTATCTTGGAGGCATTATAATAATGATGATAGTAGTCATAAAACTATTTTATGCAGGTTCTTTCATATGAAAATTAACATGTACCTTTCACATAACCATCTTATAATTAATGCCATATGTCTTTTTTATTGAAAAGACAGTTTGGTATGATGTACCAGGAGAACATTCTTTCAAGCCTGTTCTAAATTACATTACTTACTAAAAATCTCATTTCCTGCAAGCACTATCAGAACATTACCACTTTTCTTTATAATCAGATTTTATTTCTACACAACATATTTAGTCATTGTTTACATGGAAAAGTATCTATTAATATAAATAATTCTATCCTTCCTTATCCACTTCGTTTTCCCCTCTTTTTTTTTTTTTTTTGCAATGGAGTCTCACTCTGTCACCCAGGCTGGAGTGCAGTGGCATGATCTTTGCTCAATGCCACCTTCACCCACCGGGTTCAAGCAATTCTCCTACCCCAGCCTCCCGAGGTGCTGGGATTACAGGCATGAGCCACCGCACCCGGTCTTTTTTCCCTCTTGTTTTCATTCTGTATCTGATTTTTCTTTAGTGACTTTAGATCCTTTGGTAGTCTTTTGAACAATGCTTTTACTGTGTTCTTTTTTTTTTTTTTTTTTTTTACATTTTCTAATTTTTATTATTATTTTTTTAATTATACTTTAAGTTTTAGGGTACATATGCACATTGGGCAGGTTAGTTACATATGTATACATGTGCCATGCTGGTGCGCTGCACCCACTAATTCGTCATCTAGCATTAGGTATATCTCCCAATGCTATCCCTCCCCCCTCCCCCCTCCCCCCTCCCCACCACAGTCCCCAGAGTGTGATATTCCCCTTCCTGTGTCCATGTGATCTCATTGTTCAATTCCCACCTATGAGTGAGAATATGTGGTGTTTGGTTTTTTGTTCTTGCGATAGTTTACTGAGAATGATGATTTCCAATTTCATCCATGTCCCTACAAAGGACATGAACTCATCATTTTTTATGGCTGCATGGAATACTGTGTTCTTTTTTCTAAAATAATGGCTAAGAGGATTCTATAATATTTTAGCTCTATATTCGGATTACTTTTAGCATGTGCATTTTGGTCATCATCTTTTCTTAAAGTAACTTTATTGAGGTATGATTTCTAGAAATAAAATGCATTTTTTAAAGTATACAATTAATGAGTTTCAATAAATATATATATCTGTGTAGTTATCATCAAAATTAAAGTACAAAATATTTCTATTACCCCAAAAAATGACTCTGCCTCAAATCTTTCCCATCAAAGCACCTGAAAATTACTAATATACCTTCTGTTACTAAAGATTATTTTACCTTTCTAACATTTTATGGAAATGGATTCATACAGTATAAACTTACTTGCATCTGGCTTTCTATAATACACTGTCTTTTATATTCATCCATGCAGTTGCTATAGAAGTAGTTTGTTTCTTTTTATTTTTGGTAATACCCTGTTCTACAAATTGATGAAAATTTGTTCGTCAATTCACCTGCTAATAAATATTTAAGTTGTTTTTAGTTCCTGGCTCTTATAAATAAAACTGCTATGAATATTCATGTACAAGTCTTTTTAATGGACTAATGTTTTCATGTTTCTTGAGTAAATACTTAGAAATGAAATCATTGGTTGATACAGTTGGTATATGTTTACATTTACAAGAAACTGTAAAATAGTTTTCCAAAGTGGCTCTATCAGTTTTTTTCCCACCTATATTGTCTAAGTGTTCAAGTTGCTCTAAACCCTTGCCAGCATTTGTTGTAAATCTTTTCAATCTTAGCCATTCTATTAGATGGGGAATTGTACCTAGTTGTAATTTTAGCTTGGCTCTTCCTGATAACAAATAATGCTGAGCATCTTTCTCATGCTTGCTTTCCATTCACATATCCTCTTTTGTGAAATGTCTATTCAAGTATTTTGCCCATTTTCCTATTGATTGATTTGTTTTTCTTGATGGGATTGCATTTATTTTTACATTTATCTGTCTATATTCATATATATAGGTATAAAAATATATATATGAGATACAAATTTATAAATTCTTGTCAGATATACATATTGTGAATATTTTTCTCAGTCTGTGGCTTTTCTTTTTGTCTTAGTCCATTCAGACTGCTATAACAAAATATACACATGGTAGCTTATAAACAATGGAAATTTATTTCTCACAATTCTGAAACCTGGGAAGTTAAAGATCATGACACTGGCAGATACAGCATCTGGTAAGGACCACCTTTCTTCATAGACAGCACTTTCTAGCTGTGTCCTCACATGGTGGAAGGGGCAGGTTAGCTTTTTGGGGTCTTTTTTTACATCCCAATCATGATCTAATCACCTGCCAAAGGCCCCACCTCCTAATGCCATCACCTTGGTGGTTAAGAACTCAGCATGTGAATTAACCAGGGACACAAATATTCTGACCACAGTAGTTTTCATTTTCATAATAATCACTTTTGATAAGAAAATGTTTTTCATTTTCCTGGAGTCAAATCTATTATTTTTTTCTATTATAGCAATGTTTTAAGTGTCTCTTGGAAGTTTTTGTCTAGTTATGTTTATATCCAGAAGCTTTATAATCTTAGCTTTTATCTTTAGATAAATGGCCTACCTTAAATTAATTTTGTAAGATAACAGTTTGAAGTTCGTATTATTTATGTAAATTTCCATTTGTTCTTGTTCATTGTTCTAATATTAAATCGGTGAAAATATTGTTCTTTTACCCATTGAATTATTTTGACATATTTATCAAAAACCTATTGACCCCTATATGTGGAGATCTATTTCTAAAATCATTACTGTTTCATGAAACTATATCTTTATCCTGTTGCCAATACCACATTGTCTTGATTACTGTAGCTTTATAGTAAGATTTGAAACCATGGTAGTGCAAGATTTCTAGCTTTGTTCTTATTTTACAAAAACACTTAATTATTTTAGATTGTTTGCCTCTTGAAATACACTTTAGATTCAACTTAACTATTTTTACCAAAATATTTCTGTTGAAATTTTTATTTGGATTTCATTGAATTGTAAATGATTTGGGGGAAAATTAACACCTTAAAAACATGGAATCTCCTAATACATAAATTTGTTATATATCACCATTTATTTAGGTCTTTTTTCATTTCTCTCAGCATTATTTTGTAGTTTTCAGTGTACAGGGTTAATACATATTTTGATAAACTGATGTCAGCATTTTGTGTTTTTAATGTATCATTACCTTTTAAATCAACCTCTACAATAATTTTATCCCACATATTCAGAAATAATCAAACTTACAGGGCACACTGATATATAGTTAATTCAAGTATTAGTTAGATCTTCAATTGTATTACACAGCCTCATAACTCAGTGACTATTTAGGTGTTCCTTTACCATTTCCACGACCAAAAAAAACACTGTTATTTTTAAGGCAGACTATTATAGTTTTAACAAGTGATTCTAAATATTTGGAGTTTTCCTATATTAAAATGAAAACATAGCATTACATTTTTCACCTACCTCCTAACCACTGAATATCTTAAAAAAACAAGTCTGGTTGATCTTTACCATAAGAATCCCTCAAATATGTGAAAACCACTATCAAGTTTGTTAGTTTGCTTTCTGATTGGCCTCTTGTGTAGGGTGAATATCCCTAATTAGTCCATTAGTTAATTATGTGGCATGAGCTGAGATCTCAGTTATCCATGCAGCTCTCGTTCACACAAACTGCACCATATAATATCCTTCTTCAAAGGTGATGTCCAGAACACTATACCATGCTTATGGTGTGGTCTTTATAGTACTAAATATATTGGTGATATTATCTCTCAAACTCTGACAATTCTGTATTCTCACAATTTATTCCTAAAAGCTCTTAGAATTGGATATTCAACAATTAAATCAATCAGTTTTTTGGTTCCTGGAGCTCTTGATCAATTGTAATTTCTATCTATTTCTCAAAGTTCTCAGTTTTATGTTGCACTGAATTAGAGTGCTGAAACAATGGCTGTTGCAATATAGAGCTGTTTGTTGAAAAATCTCTTCTTTATGTGCCAGATTTTATGCTAGCTACACAAGACATTTATTTCTGTATTTAGACTTTATGTGTGCCATATTAGGTAAACATAAAATATGTCTCCAATTGTAATTGGATACAGGTTTAATCAAGAGAAAAGGTCAACAATTAACATAATTGAACAGGAAAGCTTTACTCCTGAAGTAAGCCAAATAAAATAAAAATTTTCTGCAATCAAAGAGGAACGTAAATCTATGTATGTAATTAACCCTTTATCCCATTGATAAGTTCAAAGTTGTTAGTTGTACATTTTCAAAGAAGTGAGTAGGTTGCTAAAAAGGCAAAGTGCTTTAAGAAACAGCACATATTTAAAAATAGGTAGTATTCCTTGAAATTAAGGTTTAAGTCCCTTTAATAATATCCCATTACTGGGTATATACCCAAAGGACTATAAATCATGCTGCTATAAAGACACATGCACATGTATGTTGATTGTGGCACTATTCACAATAGCAAAGACTTGGAACCAACCCAAATGTCCAACAATGATAGACTGGATTAAGAAAATGTGGCACATATACACCATGGAATACTATGCAGCCATAAAAAATGATGAGTTCATGTCCTTTGTAGGGACATGGATGAAATTGGAAATCATCATTCTCAGTAAACTAATGCAAGAACAAAAAACCAAACACAGCATATTCTCACTCATAGGTGGGAATTGAACAATGAGAACACATGGACACAGGAAGGGGAACATCACACTCTGGGGACTGTTGTGGGGTGGGGGGAGGGGGGAGGGATAGCTTTAGGAGATATATCTAATGCTAAATGACGAGTTAATGGGTGTAGCACACCAGCATGGCACATGTATACATATGTAACTAAACTGCACATTGTGCACATGTACCCTAAAACTTAAAGTATAATAATAATAAAATAAAAAATAATATCTAATTTGCAAAAAAAGATCTGTATATCATATCAAATGTTTACTTATGCTTAAATGGCTATTGATTTATATTTCTTTATTTAGCCTTGCTTATAATAGGAAACTCTTGAATATATTAACCTGTTATCATTATTAGTGTTTCAGCTGATCAACTGGTCATCCCGATTAATATATATCAAATTGCTCAAGGAGTATTCATGTGTCCAAAACTCAATGATGACCTTGAACAAATAAATTCTGTCTCCTTAAACATACTATTTTCAATATATACTTTTGTAGATATTGAAGACCGGCGAAAGAATACCAAATTAAGAATTATCATTCAGAATTTAAAATGCTTCATGAACCACTTCATTTTGAAATTGGAGGTCCGCTGTAAAGAAACAAATTTGAGTTTGAGGATACTGAAAGTGAATCTGGAATCTACTAAGATCAATATTAATTCATAGGTAATAGAAAAATGTGCAAAAAAAAAAAAAGAACTACTACTTGAATTTGTTTCAGTTGATGGAGGGAGGTGGAGTGGTTACTGAAATGAAAGGGTATTAAAGATATTTCCTTTGCTATAAATTTGGAAAACAGTTGCTATGATTACAACATAGCCCAGGCTCCATGTGCAGCTCTGAGAGCTATGGATCTTGGAGTTATTTTAACTAGTTACTGGATGCCACCCGAGACAATGGAATATGATGTAGGGAAAGAAAGAAATAACTAAAGTTATTCTGTTTTGGCAAAAAAATAATAATATAATCAGTCCTAGGCATTTGGTAAATGTTTCATGTATATGATTTTCAAGTCTTCAGGAGGGCAAAGTATTTCAGACTTTATAAATGAGATAGCTTGTGCATAGAGCTGCTAAGTAACTTGTATAAATTCTTATAGCCAGCAAGTTTAAACTTAGGGTTTCAAATAATTAAGTTTCACTTATTTTTAAGACTTTTTTTTTAAATTTAACTTATTTATTTACTTGATTGTATCTAGTGTGTAAAACATGTTGTATGACATATGTATACATTGTGGAATGGCTAAACTAAGCTAATTAACATATGCATTATTCACATATTTAACATTTTTTTTGTATGGTGAGAACACTTAAAATCTACTCTTAGCAATTTTTAAGAATACAATACATTATCATTAACTATAGTAACCATGTTGTACAACAGATTTCTTGAATTTATTCCTCTTATCTTACTGAAATTTTGTAGCCAACATCTCTCCAAACCCCTCTGCCCCAGCTCTTGGTAACAACCATTCTACTCTATTTCTACAAGTTTAACTTTTTAATATTCTACATATAAGTCAGATTGCATGGCACTTGTCTTTCGTGCCTGTTTTTTGTCACTTAATAAAATGTCCTCCAGGTTTATTCATGTTGTTGCAAATGACAAGACTCCTTCTTTTTTAAGCGGCAATAGAATTCCATTGTATACATATATATATACCACGTTTTCTTCATTCATTCATTCATGGACACGTAGGTTGTTTCCATATCTTGGCTATTATAAATAATGCTGCAATGAATACAGGAGTGCAAGTGTCTCTTTGATATGTAATTCTAAATCCTTTGGATATATACCCAATAGAAGGATTGTTTGATCATATGGGAGTTTTATATTTAATTTTTTGAGGAAACATTATATAACTTTCCATAATCGTTGTAGTCATTTATGTTTTCACCAACAGTGTGCAAGGGTTTTCTTTTTCCTGTATCCTAACACATAATCTTTCATCTTTTTGATAATAGTCATTCTAAAAAGCGGTACCTAACAGGCGGGAGGTGATATCTCATTGAGGTTTTAATTTGCATTTTTCTGACGGTTAGTGATTTTTGAGCAGCTTTTTCAGATACTTGTTGCCCATTTGTATCTCTTCCTTTGAGAAATGTCTATTCAGATATGTTACCTGTGCTTTTTGGTTCATGTTCGAATAATTATCGCCCAGAAAAATGTTACAGAGCTTTTCCCCTATGTTTTCTTCCAGTAATTTTACAGTTCCAGGTTTTATGTTTAAGTCTTTAATCCATTTTGTGTTGATTTTTGTAGATGGCGTAAGATGAAGATCTAATTTAATTCTTCTGCATGTGGATATCCAGTTGTCCTAAAACCATTTATTGAAGACACTGTAAAACTTTATGCTTTTTCACTGAAACAAGATACTGTTGTGTACTACTACATAAAGATAGAAGTAAATATGACCACTGTTTCAGCCAGGGTTCTCCAGAGCAATAACAATAGGATAAATAGATACATAAGATAATATTTATTATATAATTTAGCTTATACAACCATGGAGGCCAGCAAGTCCCACAATATGCCATCTGCAAGCTGTAGAACCAGGAATGCCAGTGGTGTAATTCAGTCTGAGTGTGAAGTCCTGAGGACCAGGGGAATGATAGCGTAATCCCTCAGCCTAAGGCCAAAGATCTGAGAATAGGAAGTGGGGAGAGTCCAAAGTCCCAGGAACCAGAAGGTCTGATGTCCAAGAGTAGGAAAAAATGGATGTCCCAGCTCAAGAAGAAAAGAAACTTTTCCCTTCCTCTGCCTTTTTATTCTTATCTTCAGGCCCTAAACCGATTGGATAATACCCACCTACATTGATGAGGGCAGATCTTTTTTACTAAATCTACAGATTCGACTGCTAATATTTTCTGGAAACCCTCCACAAACACACCTCAAAACAATTCTTTACTACCCATCTGGGCATTCTTTACCCAAGTGAAGTTAAAATTAGATATCACAATCCCTAAAAAAAAAGTGTGTACATTTTGATGAAATTACCAAATTTCTTAGACATTATTGGTTTCTTTGACAGAAAACCATTGGGAACATTTTATTATTGTGAATGTCATTGTTCTCCTGAAACATAAGAAATTCCACTGATAGAATATGAATCACTGTAATATTGTTTACATTATGCAAATTTAGCTGTATAGACCAGGCCATATTGCAACTTTGAAACAAATTTCCAGAAATATTTATAAGTTGCTATCATTAAGAAATTGAACCAAATCTTAAAAACTAAAGTAAAAGATAAATTTGAAAACAATAAGAAACTGTTTTTATTTTAAATCTATGAAAGTATTTCATAAAAACGTAAACAAAAATGAATTATTATGAAAAATACACATAATATTAAAAGTAATATAAAATGTGAGTAATTATAAAACTAAAATTCTAAATAGTATAATATTCTAGCATCATTCTGAGATAATAACAAAATAAGCCATTATAATAGGTTGTATTACAGGCAACATTTAAGATATTCAAAATCTAAATTATACTCCAAGGGTCCTTCTGGATAAAACATTAAAATAACTATATTTCCAGCTCAAACACAGTCAATGTGGTTACAAATTATGATTAGCTATTTGTACCTTTGAAGAACTATTTATCCCACAATTAGAAGGAACTACTGTGGCAGGTATATATGCTATAATTACAGAGGTAGGAAGAAATAATAATTGGGTAAAATGGTCTGCAGAACTTATCATTGACCATCAGACTGCTCACAGTCTTGAGTGGGCATTAATATTCTTAATAGAGCAATTTAAAAAAAATGTTTACATTCATGCCATTTTAGTCTAGGACTAAACAGCAAGAGTAATACATAGACACGTATCATTCTTCTCTGTTATCAGAGCTTATCATCCTACCCTTTTATGGTTCTCAGTGAACCTTAAAGATGACTCCCTGAGACAAATGCTTGGAAATGTTAGATTGTCTAAGTTGTGTCATCAAAGAAAAAATTTTAAAAGTTAAGAAACTATTTATTCATTTATTGTACTATAGTAACTTTGCCTTAGTATTAATATTTTTAAGGTTTTTAAAGTTTACTACACAAATATATATTTAAAGTTAAAATAGGCCAGACACTGAGAAGTTACTAGTGAGACGATGGCAAAACATGACGTGGATTCTGCTCTGAAGTAGTTTATCTTTATGTAGGAAATACAGATGAGCAGTTTAGAGAAAAAGAAATATTAACCTAACATTACCATTAGTAACACAATTTTTTCATTTTTAAAAAAATTTATTTTAAAAAAGTAAGCTATTTTTCTTAGCAAAATGTCTTATGGAGAGATAACCTTCAAATCATGACTAGAATTGGCTCAGATTCAGAGACAATTAAAGTAATCTCTATAAAAATGAATAATTAGATAACTGAAAGAAGAGAAAGCTAATGGGGTTGAAGGAGGGCTTGAGGATATTGGAGGGGATTAGAACTTTTGAAGAGATGAGCAATTTCTCTAGTAGTGTATACAAGTGAGGGACTTTAAAATGCAGAAATGCCTATTATTAATTCTTAATTTTTGCTGTTTGATGTTAGTTATAATATAAATCCCCTTAGTTTCTTTGCATTTTCAGTCACACGATCTTGAATTAGTGACGTATCAGAAAGATATGGTAGGGAACACAAATATATATATATATTTTTCCCTCCTGCATTGCATTCCTGGATACCACACAAATCCTATGCATGTAGTTATAAATGTGGCTATATATATATATATATATATACACATATATATACACTTTATATATATAAAGAAGTCTCTCTCTATATATATATATATATTTATAAAGTCTCTGATTTGTCCCATTTCTCCAAATTATAGGAAAAGTACATAGAAATAATGCTATATGTAGAATCAGAAACAGCTTTCTCAAAGAGTTTATATGTAATCTGAGATTTTGAGGTTTTCAACTGAAAAAACAGTATGTGAAAAGGACACAAATTTACAGAGAGCACAATTCATGCGGGAAGTAAAAGTTGTTTCATTCATCTGAAATAAACAGGAAAGGTAATAAAAGATGAGGCTAGAAGGGCAGAGTCCTGCAGGCATTCTAAGCCTATTAGGTACGGGAGTGAGAAACTACTAAAGTGTTTGTAACAGTTGTGTTACAGGAAGGTTGTGAGATTGGTGTTTATAAATATTTCTCCGGCTGCAGATGGGGGTGGTATTTAAGGAACTGTTAGAATAATCTAAGGAACTATGGTGGTCACTTAGCCTATCATAGGGGTTGTGAAGATGGTGATAAGCGAAAATATCTGAGATCTGTTAATCAGATAGAATTTAAAAAATTGTGGAGTGATTGGCTAAGGGGTGCAATAGGGTAAGGGAACATGATGAAACAGTTACATTTCTCAGGTTTCAGGATTGGACATCTGGGAATACAGGAAGATGAATGGATTGGAGAACTGTGGGGATAACGGAAGGAAAGGAGAAAGGGATCACACAAGATTGTATGTGTCAGGTTCTGGATGAAAAAATACCATCCAAGAGAATATGTCTGACTGGCAATTGGATGTCAGAGTCTGGAGATGAGGAGAGAGATCTATATCTAGATCCTAGAGTGATCTAGCAGAATATCTAGGTTGTATGTTTTCAAATCAACAGCATATATATGGTAACTGTGTCCATATGAGTAGATTAAGTAGCCCAAGAAATATGAGAGGGTAAGAAGAAAGGGGGACATAGAAACCATAGGAAATATTAACATTTAAGGGATGAGCAGAAAAAGAAGAACTCATGAAAAAAAAATAAGCAATCACTATCAAAGTAGAGGAAAACCAGAAGGGTGTAGTGTCTTATTTTCAAGAAAGAAGGCATGGGGGATAGAGGTCACATAGCAAAAGGGACAAATGTCAGTAGATTCAGTTAAGTCATTCATACTTGACAAAAACAGTTTCAGTGCAGTGCTGTGGTGCAAAATCTCAATTGCGATGGGTTAATAAGTAATAATGAGTGGCAGGAAAGTGAAAAAAGCAAATGTCATTAACTCTTTTAAGTGCAGGCTGAGTAAGAGATGTAGTGAAGAAAACTGTGGTATAAAGTGCTTTATTTTTTACTATGAAATAAACATAAACATTGATGGAAGAAAATCAGAAGAGAAGTTTGAAGATATAAGAAAAATATAGTAAAATATAATAAACAGTAAAAGGGAAGTACCCTGATGATATTAGAGATCAGAAGTTAGACGAGCAGACCAGAAGAGAATAGAAGTTTGAAGATATAAGAAAAATAGAGTAAAATGTAATAAACGGAAAAAGGGTAGTACCCTGATGATATTAGAGATCAGAAGTTAGACAAGCAGGGCTTCCAGTATAATTAGGGCTAACATTTTAATAATGGAAGGAGGTACTGTTAATAATTACTCTGGGACGATATGCATAAATTGAGACTGTCTTGAACAATCTTTTCTAATGACGGGAAGGAAAAAAAGGGGGCTCAGAAACATGTTATAGATAAAGTGGCAGAGAGTTGAAGGAATTTATTTGATCATTTCTATATACTCTGAAAACTAAAATGAAGTCATTTAGTGAGAATAAAAGTGAGGAGACAGGAAGGTTAGCAGTTAGAGAGTGGGAAAGCATTGAATTCCTAGCTGTGGAAGATGAGGGAGAGCTAACTATGGAAAGAAACAGATTAATTGGTGGCACTGAGCACTCAGTTCAAATGGAGAACACATATTTATAATAAAAACCAAAATTGGTGGTTCTTAGTCTACCAGACCTCCACAGCCTGGGTATAGGTACAGAGAAGATGAACAAGTGGTTTGTTTGATTCAGAATTAGGGGTTTTCAGATGGGTTGACTGTAAGAGAAATGGGGCACAAAATAGAATGCAATCTCCAACGTGGGGTTGATTTATTGCGGTGTTGCAAGAACATTTCAAAATTTGTATTTCTATTTCATATTGGAGTAATCTTTTAATATTTTAATAACTGCTATTTAATATTATTAACATATTTAATCACTTAAATAATTGTAAATAAATGTTTATATATGGGGAGAAAGAAGAAAATGACTGTTTAAAATATTTCTCTGGTAGCAATATGAAACTCAAGTGAAATATATTTGCAAGAAATATTTATCTTAGTCTATAACATAGACTAAGTGATGCTGAACTGTGAAAGCTGACTTCATGAAGGCTTCTACTCCCTTTCCTTACCTTTTTCTCACATTCACTTTCTTATTTACCTGAAACATGTGTAATGAGCATAACTGAGTAGATAATTGAAAGTATAGGAATTTTCATCACTTAAAACTATTTCATCTCAGAGTTCCAAAAGCTAATCTTTCCAACATTTGTTAAAAAATAAAGGGAGCTGCTGTAGGAGTACTAATTCTAGTGTGGTGCAGGTCATGATGTTGGGGAGAAAATAAAAAGGATGTTAAAGAAATTGAGAGATTAGGAGTACGTATAGGTATTTTACACAAACATTAAATTACCCAGAATGATAGCAAAACTGGCTAATAATGAGTAGAAGAAGATAACCTAGCTGTTTAAGTCTTCAAAAATGGTAATATGGACCCAGGTAGTTAAAAAAACATCAGCCACTATGATGAATCAGGACAGTAAGAGATTATAAAATATGGGACTTGGAAACTGGGGTACATAGGTTTTAAAAAGTTTTGTAAGAAGTGGCACATGAAGATATAAATGAAACAAAGCTAAACGTTACTGGGTTGACCAGGATTGTGAGGTCCTGACAAGTTGCCCAGATGGTCAGGGCTATTTATTGTTTGATGGAAAGAGAGTATTAACAGTTGACTACAGCCTGGGTGGATTTCAGTTCTGAGAGCTCTGGCAGATGGAGAGCCTCTTCCTTTTCTGGAAGAAACTCTTTTCTGTCTAAATTGACTATGTGGCTCTAACTTTGAGGCTGTTCATCCACAGGCTCTGAGGGAGTGTTGAGAGGCCTGATTTGTATACATTGAGCTAAGAGGCAAAGGACTCTGATTTCGGAAGCTGTATTCATTACTGAGAACCTGCTCCACCTCAGAACTAACGGACTTCAAGGTCCAGAGTTTAGCTAGAGTACTGGTACAGGTACAGAGGAGGCAATGGTCCTGGGAAAGACCATGACAAGGAGGCCATAAAATTAAGAGATTAAGACATCCCACAACTTTTCACAAGATGAATTTCTTTATAGGTCACAAGTTAATATAGCCAAGACTCATACTTATTAGCAGTGTTGCTTATTTAATTCTGGAAGTGAAAATATTCGATCAAAATAAACTTTTGTATACTAAAGTTCCAGCACTTAACTAGATGCTACAGAATTATAAAACAGCATTGCCTACTGCCCTGCATTCCTTCACATTATAGAATTTTCTTTATTTTGAAGAAGGATAAGGAAATGGGGTCAAAGAGTAGTGGCTTGCAATTCACTTTCTTCTAAAGGAAAACTGCGTCTTTGAACAATTTAACTTTTCAGATTCTTCATCTAAAAAATTCTCAACATTTAAAATTAAAATATTGATATCAAAAACCATTGAAATACACTTAAAATGCATAGAATGTGCTTTTTATTTTGTTCTTTGAAGAAGATATGCCACATTTTAACTGGTTTGTCATATATGACACAATCTTGTACTACATTCTTACTCATAGAGTTGGATTTAGAACTCAGGTGTCTAACTCAGAGCTGTACATAATTCTACAAATTTGAATTATAGTTGTTAATTGTATTTACTCTATTTTATAAAATAGAAATTTGCATGTTACAATGAATTAAAAATAAAATTCAACTTTAAAAACAGCTGTTAATAAATTCTAGAACAGTAATAATAATTTTTTCATCCCAATATGCAAAAAAAAAATTACAGGAATCTTCTAACTCTGTCTTGACAAGGTACACTTCCCAATAAATTAACTATGACAGTTATTCTATACACAAGGAATAATTCTACATACAAATGGGGAAAAATGTCAATGCAAATGACTATGCAATGACATAGAAGGCTGGAGAGAATGGAGCATTTAAAAAGCTGAAAAAATGGGCATTGCCAAGGAACCATGTGTATCTACGTATGTGTATTTATTCATACAGAGTTGTTTACTGTAGACAAGGGAAAACTAATTTATCGTTGCAAATATTATAATTGCGTAGGTGGCATTGTGGATTCACTAGAAGGAGGAATGAGGGAACTCTGTGGGGTGATAGAAATGTTCGATATCTTTATAGGGATGATGATTTCCCAGGAGAACACATTGACCAGCTCTCATGAAAATGTATTGTTATATCTGTGTACTCTCCTATAAAAAGTGAACCTAGGCTAGGTATGGTTGCTCTTGCTTGCAATCCCAGCACTTTTGGAGGCTAAGGCAAGAGGATTGCTTAAAGCCAGGAGTTTGAAACCAGTCTGGGCAACATAGTGAGACCTAGTCTTTTTTTTAAAAAAATTTAAAAAGTGAATCTAAAAAACAAAAATGATGCTGTCATTCTAATAGCCTGAGCCTCACTATCTGGTAGGACTACCTGAACATTATGACAATCTCAGCAATGGTTGTTGTATTAGGCCATTCTTGCATTGCTATAAATATCTGTGACTAGGTAATTTATAAGAAAATAGATTTAGTTGGCTCATGATTTTACAGGTTTTACAGGAAACATAGTGATATCTGCTTCTGGGGCAGCCTCAGAAAGCTTCCACTCATGGCAGAAGGCAAAGAGGCAGTAGGCACATCACATGACAAGAACAGAGCAAAAGAGAGAATGGAGAGGAGGATGCCACACACTTATAAATAATCAGATCTCATGAGAACTCAGAGTGAGGGCTCACTTATCTCAAAGGGGATGGGCTAAGCCATTCATGAGGGATACACCCCCATGATCCAAACACCCTCACCAGGCTCACTTCCAACATTGGAGATTATAATTCAATAATAGGTTTGGGTGGGGACATATATTCAAACCATATTGTCCTGCCCCTGTCCCCTCCCAAATCTCATGTCCTTCTTACATGGCAAAATACGATCATACCTTCTCAATAGTCCCTGCAAAATGTTTTTTTTTTTTTTTTTTTTTTGAGACGGAGTCTCACTCTGTCACCCAGGCTGGAGTGCAGTGGCGTGATCTTGGCTCACTGCAAGCTCTGCCTCCTGGGTTCATGCCATTCTCCTGCCTCAGCTTCCTGAGTAGCTGTAGTCCCTGAAAAATCTTAACTCATTCCAGCATTAACTCAAAAGTTCAAAGTCTCAACTGAGACACAGAAAATTCTTTCTACCTATGAGCATGTAAAATAAAAAACAAGTTGGTTACTTTCAAGATACAAAGGGGGTATAGTCTTTGGGTAAACATTCCCATTCCAAAGAGAAAAAATTGGCCAAAAGAAATAGGTTACAGGCCCCATGCAAGTTCAAAATCCAGCAGGGCTGTCATTGAATCTTAAAGCTCCAAAATAATCTTATACCCTATATCCCACATAGAGGACACACTGCTGCAAGGGGTGGGCCCCCAATGAGCTGGGCAGCTCCACCCCTGTGGCTTTGAAGGGTTTAGCCCCTGAGGATGCTCTTACAGGATGGATTTGAGTGCCTGTAGCTTTTCCAGGTGCAGGGTGCAAGCTGTTGGTGGAGCTAACATTCTCAGGTCTGGAGGATGGTGGCCCCTTTTCACAGCTTCACTAGGCAGTGCCCCATTGGGAACCCTGTGTGGATATTACAACCCCACATTTCCTGTTGTCATTGCCCTTGGTAAGGGCTTCAACCTTGTAGCAGGCTTCTACCTGGTCACACAGGCTTTCACTCATATATCCTCTGAAATCTACACAGATGCTGCCAAGTGTTTTTCAGTCTTGTATTCTGTGCACCCACAGGCTTAATACCACGTGCAAGCTGCCAAGGCTTATAGCTTGCATTCTCCAAAGTGGCAGCCCAAGCTGTACCTGGCCCTCTTTGAGTCATGGCTGGAACTGAAACAGCCAGCATGTGAAGAGTAGTGTCCCAAGGCTATGCAGGGCAGCAAGGCCTGGGCCTTGCCCATGAAACCATTCTCCCCTCCTAGGCCTCTGGGCCTGTGATAGGAGGGCTACTTCATAGGTCTCTGAAATGCCTTTGAGGCCTTTCCCCATTGTCTTGGCTATTAGCACTTGGCTCCTTTTTAGTTATGCAAATTTCTCAGGTTGGTTGCTCCACAGCCTGCTTTTCCTCCCCCAAAAAACTTCATTTCTCTGCCACATGGCCATGCTGCAAATTTTCTAAATGGTTTTGCTCTGCTTCCTGTTTAAACATAAATTCCAAGTTAAGTCATTTCTCTGCTCCTGCATATGAGCTTAAGATGTTAGAAACAACCAAGCCACATCTTGAACACTTTACTGCTTAGAAATTTCTTCCTCCAGATGCCCTAGGCCATCACTCTCAAGTTCAAACTTCCACAAATCCGTAAGGCATGGACACAATGCAGCCAAGTTCTTTGCAAAGGCATAACACACATGATCTTTGCTCCAGTTCCCAATAACTTCCTCATTTCCATTTGAGACCACCTCAGCCTGGACTTCACTGTTCATATCACTACCAGCATTTTGGTCACAGTCATTTAACCAGTATCTAAGAAGTCCCAAACTCCCCTTCATCTCTCTATCTTCTTCTGAGTCCTCTAAACTCTTCCAACCTCTGACCATTACCCAGTTTCAAAGTTCCTTCCATATTTTCAGTTATCTTTATAATGCCCCACTTCTCAGTACCAATTTTCTGTATTAGGCCAGTCTTGCATTGCTATAAAGAAATAGCTGGGACTAAGTAATTTATAAGAAAAGAAATTTAATTGGCTTGTGTTTCTGCAGGCTGTACAAGAAGCATAGTGGGTGGCATCTGCTTCTGCGGAAGCCTCAGGAACTTTCCAATCATGACAGAAGGCAAAGGGGGAGCAGGCACATCACATGGCGAGAAGAGAGCAAGAGAGAGAGGGGGCAGTGGGCAGGAGCTGCCACACACTTTCAAATGACGAGATCTTGCTAGAACACAGAGTAAGGGCTCACTTATCCCAAAGGGGATGGGCTAAGGCCTTTCATGAGGGATACACCCCCATGATACGAACACCTCCCACCAGCCCCAAACTCCAACACTGGGGATTACAATTCAACATGAGATTTGAGTGCAGCATATATTCATACAGTATCAATTGTTTTCCCTCAATCAAGTCCATTTGAGACTTGAAACTATTTTTAAGAAGTTTTGCTTATCTTGTAGACTAATGTATTAGTTAAATGACACAAGCTGCTGTAACACACTCTGAATTCTCAGTGACAATAGAATTCTATTTTATGCTTTAAAAAATTTACCTTCCCCAAGACACAGAGAGGAAGACTAGAGATCTCTTTACAAGTTAAAAAGCCTGCCAAAATCAATCACTTACTTTTTCTCTTTTTCGCTTCCCCAACCCAACCGCAGTCTTTCTTAAATGTTAAATAAATGAGAAATCCAGGCTGTGGTTGGTTAACCAAATAATAAAAGGTTATCTGGAAATTATTGCCTTTCTGATATGTTTCTTTTTAGTCTGAGTCACACATGCTGGGAAACTGACATGAATATAAATTGACCAAGAGGACTGTATTTTTAAATACTTAACTGTGATACAAAAGGTGAAATAGTTAGATGGTTAGGACATTGAAATTTGGGGTTAAATTTCAATAGGAACAGATTGTAACTGGGTAACAAGTATACTTCATTTTTTCCTAAATTCAGCTCTTTTTAATATGCCCTCCAGCTGGAGGATATATGAAAGACTTTGACTTTTTCTGTTCTGTAGTCTTTTCAGTTTTCAGAAAGCTTTTCTCTCTACTGTTGCTAAGAGGAAAAAGAAACTGTTGCCAAGTAACAAGAAAATACACTGTCCAGCACTTATCTGTTCCTCCTCAGCTGCATATCAAATGCAAACCCTCAGCTGTTCTCAAGGACATGGTGTGAGTAAGATATCATCCAGAACTTTGCAATACAGGAGTTTCAGGCCTGTCTGACCTCATTGTTCAGTGTTTCAATTATGTGATGTTCAGCTTTATATATAATTTTTCATATTCCACCTTGAAAAACAAGTACATTACTAATGCAATTGCACTTTTCATTTACCTGAAGCTCTTTGCTTAATCGTGAGCAAGTAATTTGTAGGAAGATTATCTTGCTTGTTTCATTCCTTCTTACTGACCAAGAACAGATGTCACATCTGGCTTGCTTAACAAACTTCTTCTCTGTTCACAAGTAATAGGTAGGTAAAGAGATCTATTATGATTCACCTTGATGTAATACCAGAGTCACTTTGTGATGTGAGAAAGTTGCAGATACATATAGAAGAAATTGACTCATCCAAAAGGCACCAAAACCCACAAAATACTAAACGAAAACTGACTTGAGTAAGCACCAAAAATTACCTATCTTTGGTGTCCCCTTCTCAGAAAAGTTTCACCACTGTTGCTGCCTTGTCTATACCAAAAGCCCACAGTTAATTGGAACAGTGATTGACCTAAGGAGAATCCATCTACTATATGAGTTGAGAAAGTTGAATGTCTTCTCTTGAAAATATGTATTAGGGAATACATAGTGAGATCACAGCTTGCACAGGGGCCATATAACCTAAAGGCCATGTTAAGTCATGTGCAGGCAAGACAAACTCATGTAGATAAAGAGATAGATGTAAAGAAAATAAGAGAATGAGGGAGATTGTGCCACACCTGAGATTGGATGAAGCAAAGGATAAGTAACATTTGAGAGAAGTAGAAATCGACTTTAAGTAGAATAGATTTTATTAACATTAATTAGTTTTACTTTTCAATTATTCCTTTCAAATTTGCTCTATTAGTTCCTTCTTTCCTTCGCTTTAGAAAGGTTCTATAACTTTTTGGTAACTACTGGTTGTTAAAGTTTACTTCAACCTAGTGTAATACTCAGATCTCATACCTAATTCACAGTATTTGCTCCCCACCTTGCCCCTCTCATATTTACCCTTTCTAGTCTCTTACTCCTCTGGTGGCTATGAGACCAAGAGAAAAGACATAAAAGTGAAGGT